>NC_000001.11:50614441-50765956 GCF_000001405.40 Homo sapiens
TAAAAAAACAAAAACTGCAAAATATTTTCTAGAGACTGGGAATAAATCATTTTATAAATTATTTTGATCAACACATAGTAATATTAGAAATCTTCCTTTAAAAACAAAACAAAATGGGCTGGGCACGGTAGCTCACACCTGTAATCCCAGCACTTTGGGAGGCCAAGGTGGGCGGATTACCTAAGGTCAGGAGTTCGAGACCAGTCTGACCAACATGGAGAAACCCCATCTCTACTAAAAATACAAAATTAGCTGGGCGTCATGGTGTATGCCTGTAATCCCAGCTACTAGGGAGGCTGAGGCAGGAGAATCACTTAAACCTGGGAGGCAGAGGTTGCAGTGAGCCGAGATCGCGTCATTGCACTCCAGCCTGGGCCGCAACAGCGAAACTCCGTCTCAAAAAAAAAAAAAAAAAAAAGTTTCCCAGCAAAATGAGAAAAAAAATGACATGAGAATGTGAGCATGATTTATTTTTATTTTTTAAATTTCAACTTTTATGTTAGACACAGGGAGTACATGTACAGGATTTTTACATGGGTATATTGCACCCAGGTAGTGAGCATACTACCCAATAGGTAGTTTTACAACCCACACCCTCCCTCCCTGCTCTAGTAGTCCACAGTGTCTACTGTTCCCATGTTTATGCCCATGTGTGCTCAGTGTTTAGCTCCCACTTGTAAGTGAGAACACACAGTGTTTGGTTGTCTGTTCGTGCATTACTTAGCTTAGGTAATGGCCTCCAGCTCCATCCAGGTTGCTGCAAAAGATATGCTTTCATTCTTTTTCCAGGCAGCATAGTATTCCATGGTGTATATGTACCACATTTTCTTTATCCAATCCACCACTGATGTCCACCTAGGTTGATTCCATGTCTTTGCTATTGTGAATAGCACTGCAAGTGTCATTTTGGTACAATAATCTATTTGCTGGGGAGGGGCTGTATATACCCGTAATGGAACTGTTGGGTTGAATGGTAGCTCTGATTTAAGTTCTTTGAGAAATCTCCAAACTGCTCTCCATAGTGACTGAACTAATTTACATTACCACTAACAGTATGTAAGTGCTCCCTTTTCTATGCAGTCTTGCCAGCATCTACTGTTTTCTGACTTTTTAATATAGTCATTTTGTCTGGTGTGAGATGGTATCTCATTGTGGTTTTAATTTGCATTCCTCTGATGATTAGCATTTTTTCATATGTTTGTTAGCTGCTTATATGTCTTCTTTTGAGAAATGTCTGTTTATATCCTTTATCCATTTTTTAATGGGCTTGTTTTCTGCTTGTTTGTTTCAGTTCCTTACAGATTTTTGGATATAGAATTTTTGTTGGATGTAGAGTTTGAAAGTATTTTCTCCCATTCTGTATGTCATTTACTCCGTCAATAGTTTATTTTTCTGTGCAGATGCTCTTTAGTTTAATTAGGTCCTACTTGTCAATTTTTGTTTTTGTTGCAACTGTTTTTGGGGACTAAGCCAAAAAAATCTTTGCCAAGGCCCTTATTGAGAAGGGTATTTCCCACGTTTTCTTCTGGGATTTTTATAGTTTGAGGTTTTACATTTAAATCTTTAATCCATCTTGAGATAATTTTTGTATATTATAAAATTTAAGGTGCCTAGTTCCATTCCTTTGCATATGGCTAGCCAGTTATCCCAGCACATTTATTGAAAAGGGAGTCCTTTCCACATTGCTTGTTTTGTTGGCCTTGTCAAAAATCAGATGGTTGTAGGTAAGTGACTTTATTTCTGAGTCTTCTATTCTGTTCCATTGGTCTATGTGTCTGTTTTTGTATCAATACCATGCTATTTTGGTTACTGTAGCCTTACACTTTAGTTTGAAGTCCCATTTTGTTCTTTCAGCTTAGTATTGCTTTGGGTATTCAGGCTCTTTCTAGGTTCCATATTAATTTTAGAATTTTTGTTTCTAGTTTAGTGAAAAGTAACATTGGTAGTTTGATCGGAATAACACAGAATCTGTATGTTGCCTTTGTCACTGTGGCCATTTTAATGATACTGATTCTTCCAATGCATGACTATGAATTGTTTTTCCATTTATTTGTCATCTCTGATTTCTTTCAGCAGTGTTTTGTAGTTCTCATTTTAGAGATCTTCCACCTCCTTGGTTAGTTGTATTCCTAGGTATTTCATTTTCTTTGTGGCTAATGTAAATGGGATTGTGTTCTTAGTTTGACTCTCAGCCTGGGTGTTACTGGTGTATAGAAATGCTACTGATTTTTGTATACTGATTTTTTTTTTTTTTTTTGAGACAGAGTCTCACTCTGTTGCCCAGGTTAAAGTACAGTGGCACAATCTTGGCTCACTGCAACCTCCACCTCCTGGATTCAAGTGATTCTTGTGCCTCAGTCTCCTGAGTAGCTGGGATTACAAGCATGCGCCACCATGCCCAGCTAATTTTTGTATTTTTAGTAGAGTCAGGATTTGGCCATGTTGGCCAGGCTGGTCTCAAACTCCTGACCTCAAGTGATCTGCCCACCTCTGCCTCCCAAAGTGCTAGGATTACAGGCATGAGCTACCGCACTCAGGCTGTACATTGATTTTATATCCAGAAACCTTGCTAAATTGTCTATCAGTTCTAGGAGCTTCTGGCAGAGTCCTTAGGGTTTTCTAGGTATAGAATCATATCATCAGCAAAGAGATACAGTTTGACTTCTTTTTCCATTTGGATGCCTTTCATTTCTTTCTCTTGCCTGATTGCTGTGGCTAGGACTTTCAGTACTATGTTAAATAGGAGTGGTGAGAGTAGGCATCCTTGTATTGTTCCAGTTCTCAAGGGAAATGGTCCCAGCTTTTGTCCATTCAGTATAATGTTAGCTGTGGGTTTGTGGTTAATGATAGATGGCTCTTATTATTTTGAGATATGTTCCTTCAATGCCTCATCTGTTGAGGGTTTTTATCAAGAAGTGATGTTCAGATTTTATCAAAAGCTTTTACTGCGTCTATTGAGATGATCATATGGTTTTTGCTTTTAATTCTGTTTATGTGGTGAATCACATTTATTGATTTGTGTATGTTAAACCAACTTTGCATCCCAGGGATAAAGCCTACTTAACTGTGGCGAATTAAGTTTTTGAGGTGCTTCCGGATTCAGTTTGCTAGTATTTTATTGAGGAGTTTTGCATCTTTGTTCATCAGAGATATTGGCCTTACTTCTCTTTCTTTATGGTCTCTGCCAGATTATAGTATTAGGGTGACGCTGGCCTCACAGCATGAGCTAGGGAAGGAGTCCCTCCTCTTCTGTTTTTTTTTTTTTTTTTTTAATAATTTCAGTAGCACTGATACCAGTTCTTCTTTAGGTGTCTGGCAGAATTCAGCTGTGACTCCATCTGGTCCAGTGCTTTTTTTGGTTGGCAAGTTTTTTATTATTTATTCAATTTCAAAGCTTGATACTCGTCTATTCAGGGATTCAATTTCTTCCTGATTCAACCTTGGGAGATTGTGTGTTTCCAGGAATTTCTCTATTTCCTCCAAATTTTCTAATTTGTGTGCATAGAGTTGTTCATAGTACTATGAAGATCTTTTGTATTTCTGTGGAATCAGTTGTAATGTCATCTTTGTCATTTCTGATTGTATTTATTTAGATCTTCTCTTTTTTCCTTTGTTAATCTAGCTAGTAGTCTATCAATCTTGCTTATTTTTTCGAAGAGCCAACTCTTGTTTTCATCTTTTGTATGGATGTTTGCATCTCAATTTCATCATGCACTTCTCCAATTTTGGTTCTTTTCTTCTGCTAGCTTTGGGGTTTATTTGTTCTTTTAGTTTTTTTAGGTTTAATGTTAAATTGTTAATTTTAGAGCTTTCTAACTAATTAATGAGGGTGTTTAGAGCTATAAACTTTCCTCTTAACACTGCTTTAGCTGCATCCCAGAGATTTTGGTAATTTTCGCTAATACTGGTGTTCACTCAGGAGTTATTCTGGAGCAAGTTGTTTAATATCCATCTGTTTGTGTAGTTTTTAGAGTTTTTTTTTTTTTTTTTTTTGTATTTTCAGTAGAGATGGGGATTTACCATGTTGGCCAGGCAGGTCTCGAACTCCTGACCTCAGGTGATCAGGCTGCCTCGGCCTCCCAAAGTGCTGGTATTACAGGCATGAGCCACCGCGCCCGGCCACCTAAATCTTTTTTAATGCCAAAAACTTGTTTTATGAATCTGGGTGCTCCAATGCTGGGTGAGCATATATTTAGGATAGTTAAGTCTTCCTGTTGTGCTGTACCCTTTATCATTACATAAGGCCCTTTATTGTCCTTCTTAATTTTTACTAACATTTGTTTTATCGAATATAAGAATAGCAAAGCTTGCTTTTTTTTTTTTTTGAGACAGAGTCTCACTCTGTCGCCCAGGCTGGAGTGCAGTGGCACACTCTCAGCTCACTGCAGCATCTGCCTCCTGGGTTCCAGCGATTCTTCTGCCTCAGCCTCCTGGGTAGCTGGGATTACAGGCGTGCACCACCATACCACCATGCCCGGCTGATTTTTGTATTTTTAGTAGAGACAAGGTTTCACCATGTTAGCCAGGCTGGTCTCGAACTCCTGACCTCATGTAATTCACCAGCCTTGGACTCCCAAAGTGCTAGGATTACAGGTGTGAGCCAGCACACCTGGCCCCTTGCTCTATTATGTTTTATTTCTGCGTGGTAGATCTTTCTCCATCCCTTTACTTTGAGACTGTGGGTGTCATTATGTGTGAGATGTGTCTCTTGAACACAACAGATGGTTGGGTCTTATCTTTTTATTCAGTTTGTCATTCTGTGTCTTTTAAGTGAGGCGTTTAGCCCATTTATATTCAAAGTTAGTACTGATATATGTGATTTTGATCCTGTCATTGTGGTGTTAGCTGGCTGCTATGTAGACCTGATTGTATAATTGCTTTTCAGTGTCTGTGGGCTATGTGCTTAAGTGTGTGTTTGTTGTAGTGGTATCATTCTTTTGATTCCAAGTTTAGTACTCCCAGAAGGACCTCTTATAAGGCTGGTCTATTTGAAACACATTCCCTCAGCATTTGCTTGTCTGAGAAGGATTTTGTTTCTCCTTCACTTATAAAGCTTAGTTTGCTGGGATATGAAATTCTTGGTTGAAATTTATTTAAGGATGCTGAATATAGGCCCCAAATCTCTTTTAGCTTGTAGGGTTTGTGCTCACAGGCCTGCTGCTAATGGGGTTGTCTAGCCTGATTGGGTTCTCTCTGTATATGACTTGACCATTCTCTCTAGCTGCCTTTAAGATTTTTTCTTTTACATTGACCTTGGTGAATCTGATGAGTACATGCCTTGGGGATGGTCGTCTCATATAGTATCTAACCAGGGTTCTCTGTATTTCCTGGATTTGCATATCAATTTTTGTAGTGAGATTAGGGAAATTTTCATGGACTATATCCTCAAATATATTTTCCAAGTTGCTTATTCTCTCTCCTTCTCTCTTAAAAATGCCAATGAATAGTAGATTTGGTCTCTCTCTCTCTTTTTTTTTTTTTTTTTGAGACAGAGTCTTGCTCTGTCTCCCAGGCTGGAGTGCAATGGCACAATCTCGGCTCACTGCAACCTCTGCCTTCCAGGTTCAAGCGATTCTCCTGCCTCAACTTCCCAAGTAGCTGGGACTACAGGTGCCCACCACTACGCCTGGCTAATTTTTGTATTTTTAGTAAAGACAGGGTTTCACTATGTTGGCCAGGTTGGTCTCGAACTCCTGACCTCATGATCCGCCCGCCTCGGCCTCCCAAAATGCTGGGATTATAGGCGTGAGCCACCGTGTCCAGCCTAGATTTGGTCTCTTAACATAATCCCACATTTCTTGGAGGTTTTGTTCATTGTTTTAAATTTTTTCTTTATTTTTGTCTGAATGAGTTGATTTGAAGAACCAGTCTTTGAGCTCTGAGAGTCTTTCCTCCTCTTGGTCTATTCTGTTGTTCATACTTGTATTGTATTATGAAATTCTTGTAGTAAACTTAGCAGCTCTAGAAATTCAGTTTGGTTCTTTCTTAAAATGACTATTTCATCTTTCAGCTCTTGGATCATTTTGCTAGATTCCTTGGATTGGGTTTCAATTTTCTCCTGAATCTCAATGCACTTCGTTGACATCCAGATTCTCAATTCTGTGTCTGTCATTGCAGTCATTTTGGAATGGTTAAGAACCATTGTTGGGAAACTAGTGGACTTGTCTGGAGGTAAGGGGACACTGGCTTTTTCAACTGCGAGAGTTCTTGTGTTGATTCTTTATGTGTGGGTGAATTCTTGCACTTGGTTTCACAGGTGTATATATTAGCAGGATAATTTTTGTTTTTGCAGTTTGAGCTGCGATCCAGTAGATGGTGCTTAAGAGTAAT
Source organism: Homo sapiens (assembly GCF_000001405.40). Lineage (NCBI taxonomy): Eukaryota > Metazoa > Chordata > Mammalia > Primates > Hominidae > Homo > Homo sapiens. Next base: position 50,620,772 of record NC_000001.11, read on the forward strand.
GGCCAGTAGCTAGGCAAATATCCAGCCACATAGATCTTTTGTACTTTCTTGCATTCTCAGGTGTGCTCTGTGGTGTGGGAGGGGAGGAGATGGCTCCCTCACCAGGTCTGCTTCTGAGCCTTGGGGGTGCCCCCTCCAGTCACTGGCACTGTGCCTGCATTTTCTTTTGTTAGGTGTTCCGGGCCATGGGGCCCCCTCAGGCAGAGGCTGGAGCAGGGAGATATGCCGCACACTTTCCGGACCAGCCCTGTGGAGGGAGGCACACCCTGCTCCTACCCTAGTTCTCAGTCCTCTGATGGTGGGGGCTCCTCCCCTGCTCAAGTGTTGGTCTTAGATCTTGGCTCCATACTCCTAAGCTACATGCCACAGCCCTGGAAGTACCAGGAAGTCCCACAGCTCAGGGTGGGGTTATGGCTGTGCTGGGGTTTCTGATGTGCTCCTGAGTCACTGGGAAAATACTCAGGTGGAACAATGCACTCTGGCTGGGCTGCAAAGGGGGTGCTGTGTACACGCTCCTGCAAGGCAGCTAGGAATGGGCCTTCGCAGGAGCCAGTGAGCAGGAGGGCTTGCAGATATGCCCCAGTCTTACGGGGAAGTTAGCCCCGATCTTTCTTTTTTTCTTTTTTTTTTTTTTTTTTTTTTTTTTGAGATGGAGTCTCACTCTGTAGCCCAAGCTGGAGTGTAGTGGCGGGATCTCAGCTCACTGCAACCTTCGCCTCTGGGGCTCAAGTGGTTCTCCTGCCTCAGCCTCCCAAATACCTGGGACTACAGGGGCGCACCACCACACAGTTAATTTTTTTGTATTTTTAATAGAGACAGGGTTTCACCATGTTGCCCTGGGTGGTCTCGAACTCCTGAGCTCAGGTGATCCACCCACCTCGGCCTCCCAAAGTGCTGAGATTACAGGAGTGAGGCACTGCACCTGGCCCAGCCCCGATCTTTCTTAGGTTGGAGGTTACCTGGGGCCAGCACCTCCTAGAGGAAGATGAGGAGCCCTGGAGGGTGGGTGTCTATGGCTAATCTCTGCCAGAGCTGACCAGCACACAAAAGCTCCTGGGCTCCATGCCGACCACACTCCTGTCTGTCTTGCTCCCTAGAAAGATTCCCCTGCTGGCCAGGCACAGTGGCTCACGCCTGTAATCCCAGCACTATGGGAGGCCAAGGCAGGCGGATGGCCTGAGGTCGGAAGTTCGAGACCAGCCTGGCCAGTATGGTGAAACCCAGTCTCTACTAAAAATACAAAAATTAGCCGGGCATGGTGGCAGGTGCCTGTAATCCCAGCTACTCAGGAAGCTGAGGCAGGAAATCACTTGAATTCGGGAGGTGGAGGTTGCAGTGAGCCGAGATTACACCACTGCACTCCAGCCTGGGCAACAGAGCGAGACTCCATCTCAAAAAAAAAAAAATAAAAAGAAAAAAAAAAGAAAGATTACCCTGCCAGCTCACATGTCCATGGAGGATAAAGGGTCCGCCGTAGCTAGGCTGGTCTGTGGCAAGAGTGAGCTATCCCTCATTTCCTTAATACACCCCTTTCCCAAAAGCTATTCAGGGCCAAGAACTAGCACCAGCATTCAGATACTCCACACAAGGTTCCCAGCTTCCTCCCTTTTCAGCCTTGGCTTCAGCATCTCCTCACCAGCCACTCTTGGCATTTTCTCTCCTAAGAGTTGCCCAAATTATGCTGACTTGATGATTTGGTCTCTCTCGGTAGAAGTGGCACTTCCAGGCCGCATTTAGTTAGCTATCTCATCCACTCTCTTGAGAGTTACTTTTAAAGGATATTAGTACAATTGTCATCCAGGAATCTAATATTACTTGAAATTTACCTGTTTTTAATTGATCCATTTCATTTGCTGAAGGACATGTATTAGAATTTTACAGAATCATAAAATTTCAGAGTTAAGGGAAATCTTGGACTTGGGGGTGGGGAGGATGGTAAAGAGGAACAGAGAGGATTCCAGTATTTATTGGACACCTACTATGACCTCCTCTTTACTAAAGTGGGATATCCCTGAAAATACTGTGAGGAGTAGGGGAATTTGGCTTCTCTGGAGAACGTTTGATAGTATACCTGTGCACACCAGGAAGCAGTGGTAGGCACAATTGGTCATAAATGAGAGGTAGCTTGAAGTTTCTTTTAGATTCTACCCTTATTCCTCAAATCTTCCTCTAGGACCTGATTCTCTCCCTCATTATCTTGCACTTGGTGGTAATCCCATACTGTACCCTAGTTTTTGCTCCCTAGGGCTCACTAATATCATCTTCTCCTACACCATGACCCTGTTCTCACCGGTTCCCAACTTTACTGAACTTTACCTGTATTGCTTCATTTCCTCAGATCCTCAAGTATCAATAAGCTCAATAAGTGCATCGAGTTCAAATCAGCCCATATGAAGTAAAGAGCATTTGAGGACACTGCTAGATTATATTCATTCATTAAAACTGTGGCATTTGGGAGACAATCTTCCATTTTGAGTGTAGTTTGGGAATTTTTAGAAATTTTGGCTCAGGTTAGGACAGGCGTGGTGGCTCACACCTGTAATCCTAGCACTTTGGGAGGCCAAGGCGGGTGGACTGCCTGAGCTCATGAGTTCGAAACCAGCCTGGGCAACATGGCGAAACCCTGTCTCTACTAAAATACAAAGAAATTAGCTGGGTGTGGCGGCGTGCACCTGTAGTCCCAGCTACTCGGGAGGCTGAGGCAGGAGAATTGCTTGAACCCGGCAGGTGGAGGGCAAGTTGCAGTGAGCTGAGATCGTGCCACTTGCACTCCAGCCTAGGCAACAGAGTGAGACTCTGTCTTGAAAAAAAAAAAAAGAAAGAAAGAAAAGAAAAAGAAATTTTGGCTCAGGTTTAAAAAAATTCCTCATAAACCAGAGCACAAATGAGGCCAGGTGTGGTAGCTCATGCCTGTAATCCCAGCACTTTGAGAGGCCAAGGTGGGAGGATCACTTGAGCCCAGGTGTTCAAGACCAGGCTGGGCAACTTGGCAAAACCCTGTCTCTACAAAAAATACAAAAAATTAGGCAGGCATGGTGGTATGCGCCTGTAGTCACAACTACCCAAGAAGCTGAAGTGGGAGCCCAGGAGCCAGGAGGCAAGGCTGCAGTGAGTTGTGATTGCACCACTGCACTCCAGCTTGGGTGACAGAGCGAGACCCTGTCTCAAAAAAAAACAAAGAAAGAAGAAGAAGAAGAAAGAAGAAGAGGAAGAAGAGGAAGAAGAAGGAAGAAGAAGAAAGAAGAAGAAGAAAGAAGAAAGAAGAAGAAGAACCACAAATACAAATGGCACTGTATGCTAGTGTTGCCACTAGAAAGACCACGTAGTTCCGTGGCAGGCAGTCAAGTAGAAATGACTAGTCCTAGTCCAGACACAACTTTCGAACTTTTTTTTTCAGATGCAGTCTATCTCTGTCGCCCAGGCTGGGGTGGAGTGGCGTGATCTCAGCTCACTGCAACCTTCACCTCCTGGGTTCAAGCGATTCTCCTGCCTCACCCTCCCAAGTAGCTGGGATTATGGGTGCCAGCCACCACGCCCAGCTAATTTTTTGTATTTTTTAGTAGAGATAGGGTTTCACTGTGCTGGCCAGGCTGGTTCGAACTCCTGACCTTGTGATCTGCCCGCCTCGGCCTCCCAAAGTGCTGGGATTACATGCGTGAGCCACCGCGCCCGGCCAACTTTCAAACTTTCTAGTGTTCTTGCAAAAGTAATTTATCTCTCTGAATCTCAGTTTCCTTATTTGTAAACAAAACAAACAAAAACAATAACTCCTTTGCCTGATTAAGCAGATATGAAAAAAATGAGTTAATCTATATGAAAGGATTTTAAAACTGAAAAACAGAGGGCTTCAACATATGAAAAGGAAAACAAAAAAGGAAAAATAGATAATTGATTTTATTTCTCCAACATTTTCTAACTAGGCTTATCCTATGCACTAAATAAGAACAGCATTACCATATCTCTAACTTTTCACATATATTCCCTTGGTGTGACTTACAAGACCCCAAAGTAGAATCCAACTGTCATAAGTAGATGTGCAATAAAAACATGTGATTGTTAACCTTCTCCATTCAAAGTGAAATCAGGTTTAACTCTCCCTTTTATACAGCACTAGAATCCCACACTCTTTTTTTTTTTTTTTTTTTTTGAGAAGCAGTTTTGCTCTTGTTGCCCAGGCTGGAGTGCAATGGCATGATCTCGGCTCACTGAACCCTCCGCCTCCCAGGTTCAAGAGATTCTCCTGCCTCAGCCTCCCGAGTAGCTGGGATTACAGGCGTGCACCACCACGCCCAGCTAATTTTGTATTTTAATAAAGACGGGGTTTCACCATGTTGGTCAGGCTGGTCTCGAACTCCTGACCTTAGATGATCCACCCACCTCAGCTTCCCAAAGTGCTGGGATTACAGGCGTGAGCCACCGCTCCCGGCAGAGAATCCTACACTCTTAACAACAATACAGGGAATCCACTACTACAGCATAAATTTGTTCTGATACAACTTCTCACACCTTAAAATCTGGCCATTCCTCATTTCTTCTGGGCATTCTTCTCTAATCATCCTGTCAACAAATATTAAGTATCTACTATGTACCTAAGGATAGAGAGAGAAAAAGAATGGTATTCTTGCTTTTGAGGGGTTCACAAACAGTAGTGAATAAACTTATACACAAGAAGTGTAACTAATTTTACCAATGTGGTTAAGTCCCACAATCAATGCTTTGGTAGTACAAGAAGAGATAATGTCTAACTTTGCCTGAAGACTTCAAGAGAAATGTCACAAAGGAGTGTCAGCTGAGTCTTAAAGGATGATTTAATTAAAGAGGAGGGTAGGCGGAGTGTAAGCACCTTAGAAGAGAAAGAAATGATATGCATAATGGCAAGAAAAAAGGTAACACATCTAAGAAACAAGTAGTTTAGAGTGGTTGGAGGCCAGGTAAGGCACAAAATGGTGAGGAACACAGGTAGGAAGGGAGGCACTGATCAGATTATGAACAGTCAAATATGTTCCATTAAGGAGTTTAGACATTATCTTGTAGGCAACGGGAAACCACTGAGAGATTTGAAGCAAGCAAGTAATAAGATGCAAATGCATTTAATAAGATAACTCACATTCCTCAAGTTCTGGAGAATGGAGTGAGGGAAGTAAGACAGAAAGATCTGAAACAGGGAAATCAGGAGAAAGTTATAAGAGTCTAAACTATGGTAAGAATGGTGGAACTACAGGAGAGACAGATCAATAGATCAAAAGAGCTGAAACCATACTTGTTGTCATGTTTTTGCATATTCCAAAATCAAAGTTAAATTAAATAATTATAATCTTCAGTAGGAAGAATCTATCTGCTTGGGTATAATGATCCCAATTCCTTAAATTTTGTTATTGTGTTATATTTTCAGATGTGTTTCCAAATATGTCATCTTATTTAAACTGACAACAATGTCACAGTTGTTAAGAATTGGAAACTGAGTTTTAGAGAGGTTTATTCATTCAAACAATCTTTATTGAGCACCTACTATCCAAAGGGATTAGGTATGCAATAATGAACAAAAACAGACATATGCCCTTGTGGAACATATGGTATAAAATAGGAAATAATCCCTAAATAAAATATAAAATCACAACTGTAAATGCAATAAAAGGACAGCTTCCATGAAGAAATGTTTGAGTTGAAAGAATAAGAATTATACAGGATATATCAGGGAACAGGATAAAAAGCCCCAATGATGGTACCTCAGAAGAACTCTCAGACCAGTGTAGCTAGTGAACAGAGAACAAGAGGCAATAAAATATAAGATAACACTAAAGAAGTAAGCAAGAAGTAAGACTACTTTGCAGAAGTAAGCAAGAATCAGACTATGCAGTGCCTGGTTAGTCATATTAAGGGGTCCGGTCTTTACATGGGAAGATTTAAGCAGGGAGATTACTTGAGTAGATTTATATCTCTTTTAAAAAGTGTTATTCTGATATAGTACGGAGAGTTGATTGAGGGGAAGTGAGAGTAAATATAGAAGCCCAATTTGGAAACTTCTGCAATAAACAGTCCACAATGAAAAGTTGGTATCTTATATTGGGGTAGTGGCAGTGGAAATAGAAGTGAATGAATGGGAGATATGTAGGAGCTAAAATGGACAGGAATTGATGATGATTTACATAAAGTCAGCAAGACAGAGAGAAATTAAGAATAACTCTTATCTTGCTTGTGGAACTGGATGGATTGTGATGCCATTCATGGAATTAGAATACTTAAGAAGAAGATCAGGCATGCGCAGGGAATAATATGAATTCAATTTTGGATATGGTAAATTTTAGTTCCTTTGGGACCTCTAAGTGAAGATGATAAGAAGGCTCTTCTGGAGCTAACATGAGAAGATGAGGCTAGAAATATAAATTTGTTAACAATCTCACATGAGTGATAATTTAAATTGTAGATATGATAAAGAATACCTAGGAAGAAGATACTAAGTGAGAAGACATGAGTACATGGAACTGAGTCTTAAAGAACTCCTATATTTAGTGACAGGGTAAAGAAGGATGAGCTTGCAAAGGAGATAGAAAAGGAGAAACTAGGAGCCAAATGAAAAAGCGTCTCAGGAAGGAGTTTTCAACAGGTTCAAATGCTCCTAGAAAGTATTTTAAATAGCCCAGAAGTGAAAACTATCTAAATGCCTGCCTCATCAATAGTAGAACAGATAAACGGGTGAAATATCCACACAATGGAATATAATAAAGCACTGAGAATGAATGAGCTATAACTACATAGAAAAATATGGATCCATCTCATAAACGGAAGGTTGGACAAAGAAGGAAGGAAAGGAAGAAAGGAGGGAGTGAAAGAGACAAATAGTACATACCGCATGATTCATAATATATAATGTTCAAAACCAGGCAAAACTAATCTATGGTCTTATCTTTTGGATAAAGGGAATGTGAGGGGGGGCTTCTGGGATACTTTAAAATGTTTTCTTTCTTAATCTGGATGCTGGCTACATGGCAGTATTTACTTTTAAAAATTCATCAAATTGTACATTCATGATTTGTGTATTTTCCTAATTGTTTTCAACAAAACATTTTTTTTTTTAAATGCTGCTAAGAAGTCAAGAACAGTGAAGACTGAAAGTCTACTTGATTTAGCAACATGGCAGTCATTCGTACCTAAAGAAAAGCTATTCTGGTGGAGAAACAAATTGAAAGCCAGAATGGCATGAGTTGACGAATAAGTAGAAGGAAAAAAATTGAGATAATAACTGCAGATAACTCTGAATTTTGGCTGTAAAGAGAAGAGAAAGTAGTAGCTAAAGTCAGGGAGGATTTCTTGGTTTTGCTTTAATGGTATGTTTATGTTTCTGTGTGTGTGTATGCGTGTGTGTTTCTGTTAAGATGAGAGACTTGCCATGTTTAAATGTGAACAGAATTTCTAGTACAATGAGATCAAAGAAAAAATATATTAGATATTATTGATAACATATGTTTCCTGAGAAAATAGAAGGTGATGGGGTACAGAACACAGGTGAAGAAACTTATTTTACTCAGCCTGAACTAGAAACAACATTTTCTGTCCCCATATTCATTGCTCTTTTTCTACACACAGCTATCTGATTTGAAACTGTAGGATTTTGGTCAGTGGCAATACTCTAATGTTCAGTATAAGGAGCTCCCAAGTTTTAATCCTGTCTCTGCGGCCTTGGACAAATTTTAAAGTACCTAGCCTTTTATCTTCATGTTTAACTGGGGATATTTAATATCATTTCTTAAGTTTTATGGATCAATTAGTAAACCCTTGGCTAACAGTTTTAGAGATGAAAAAGGCTAGAAGGACAATACCTTCTCCTTCTTGGATGTCAAAAGCTTAAAAGTGATTAAACTTGTCAACTGTCTCTAGACCAATGCAACTAAAAGAATTGTCAAACAGGTGCACACAGTAGTCACACTTCACAGTAAATTACAGAAAGACCTAGTTACCGTTTTCATCTCACATTCCATAAAAATGGAACTATGGCCACAATGTGTAGCATGCTCATCATGAGTTGCTACCCAGTGAACATTATTCACCTAAAGAACACAGATGACAGGTTTTCACAGACATCCTGTCACTGATCTTCTACTACTAAGAGAGGCACATAGTGTGGTAAGGCCATTCTTTGGGGGTTCAAATCCCACTGCTACTTATTATTTATGTGGTCATATCAATATAATTCAGTTTGCTCAACTGTAAAATGGGGTGAATAATAGCCTTCAGCTCATAGGGTTGCTGGGAAGGTTAAATGAGTTATTATATGTGTATTAGACTAATGCCTTGTATATAATAAATATTTTTAAGTGATATCTATTATTGTTATTCCCAGAGAGGCATGAGCTTAAGGCAAAAAGATCAATCTTATAGATCCAGATAGATGCTTTTTTTTTTTTTTTTTTTTTGAGACGGAGTTTCACTCTTTCTTGTTTCCCAGGCTGGAGTGCAATGGTGCGATCTCGGCTCACTGCAACCTCCGCCTCCCGCGTTCAAGTGATTATCCTGTCTCAGCCTCCCAAGTAGCTGAAATTATAGGTGCATGGCACCACGCCCAGCTAAGTGTTGTATTTTAATAGAGACAGGGTTTCATCATATTGGTCAGGCTGGTCTCGAACTCCTGACCTCAAGTGATCTGCCTGCCTCGGCCTCCTGAAGTGCTGAGATTACAGGTGTGAGCCACCGTGCCTGGCCTCCAGATAAGATTCTTTAAGGAAAATCTCTGACTGTGCATAATAGGTAAAATTGGGGAACTATGCTAGGAAAGAAAGGATAAGAACTTGGGATTTAAGGTTCACAGAGAAATAATTTATGGTATAGTAAAAAGAGGTAGCCTTTAGTCAAACACGGGTCAAGATCCCTTTTCAATACCCCTTCTTTCTGTGTTATTCAACAAGTTGTTAAACCACCCTAAGCCTCAGTTCCTTAATGTGTAAATGTGGGGATAATAACATCTACCCTTCGGGATTGATTAACGTGAAGATTAAAGATAAAACATATAAGGCCAGGTGCAGTGGCTCACGCCTGTAATCCCAGCACTTTGGGAGGCCGAGACAGGCAGATCACCTGAAGTCAGGAGTTCAAGACCAGCCTGACCAACATGGAGAAACCCCATCTCTACTAAAAATACAAAATTAGCCAGGCATAGTGGCACATGCCTGTAATCCCAGCTACTCAGGAGGCTGAGGCAGGAGAATCGCTTGAACCTGGGAGGCGGAGGTTGCAGTGAGCCGAGATCACGCCACTGCACTCCAGCCTGGCGACAGAGCGAGCCTCTGTCTCAAAAAAAAAAACATATCGACGTTCAGCAAAATGCCTAGAACAAAGTAAGATACATAAATATTGTTTAAATATTGTTCCTGTTACTAATTATTTATTAATAAAGCAAAGATAATACAGAAGTCAAGAGAATGGTTACAGTTCATGTAAAAATTTATTTTGGTTCCCTGGAGTCAAGTCACAAAAATACTCCATGTTTAGTTGTAAGACATATTTTGCATTAAACTAAAATTCAAAAAGCGATTTTAGTGCTCACTTCAAAACTTGTGATGTCATACTGTAAAAGGCTAATTTTCATTACATCTGAAATTTACAAACATCTGAAAATAGATAAATATCATAGGTAAGAACTATGATAGCATTTTTGAACTTCTGGATTCAGGAATAAGTTGCCATGTTAGTAAAAAGAGCCAATTCCCTAAATATAACCGTTTTTTAACATGCAGTCTCCCCACATTTTTTGAGACTATATGCCCTTTCCCCCTATTCTATAGGTTGCATAATTTTGTTTGCTTTCTTATTTTGTTTTTAGTAGCAATTATAAACTGATAGTTAAGTATTCTAAAACACTGAGGGAATGACATAATATTAAAGACCTTCTCAGTGGATGACAAAATTCTGGGAAAGTCCCTTTAAATGGATAACCACAGTATTGAAAAGTGTATCATATAATAATACAATTCTTACAAATCTCTTTTTCCTCTTTTGTTTAATATCGTAGTCTCCCCTTATCTGTGGTTTCACTTTCCAGTTTACATATCTAGTGTATCATATCTTTTTTTTTTTTTTTTTTTTTTGAGAGTCTCACTCTGTCGCCCAGGCTGGAGTGCAGTGGCACGATCCCGGTTCAAGCAATTCTCTGCCCCAGCATCCCAAGTAGCTGGGATTAAGGACACCTGCCACCATGCCCGGCTAATTTTTGTATTTTTAGTAGAGATGGGGTTTCACCATCTTGGCCAGGCTCCTGACCTCGTAATCCACCCACCTCGGCCTCCCAAAGTGCTGGGATTATAGGCATGAGCCACAGTGCCCAGCCTCTATTTTCATTCTCCTACCATTCCTCTGCCACACTGCAGTTATCTCTACTGTCTAAACGCATTTTTTTCCTAGCTATCCTGTTCCATTGTTATGAAATGGAACTCCAGTAGTCCCTCCTTATACACAGTTTTAGTTACCTGCAATCAACTGTGGTCCAAAAATATTTTTGTTATTCCCAATTTAATATTTATTCATGTTTTAAATTGCATGCCATACTAAGTAGCATGAGGAAATCTTGCACCAGCCAGATCTGTCCCCATCAGGACATAAATCATCCCTTTGTCCAGTGTATCCATGCTGTATACTCAACCTGCCTATTAGTCATTTAGTAGACCTTATCAGATTTATCAGATTGACTGTCAAGGTATCACAGTGCTTGTGTTTAAGTTACCCTTATTTTACTTAATAATGGCCCCAAAGCTCAAGAGTAGTGATGTTGGCAATTCAGATATGACAAAGAGAAGCCATAAAGTGCTTCCTTTAAGTGAAAAGGAGAAAGTTCTTGACTTAATAAGAAAAAACAATCATGCTGAGGTTGCTAAGATCTCCAAAAAGAACTTGTTTTCTATAAGTGAAATTGCATTTGAAGGAAAAAGAAACATCTGCTAGTTTTGCTGCTGCACCCCAAAGTGCAAAAGTTACAACCACAATGTCTGTGGTAAGTGCTTAGTTAAGATGAACAAGGCATTAAATTTGTGGGTGAAAAACATAAACAGAAAATATTTTCCAATGAATGGTCATGTGTTGCACCAGAAAGCATTGAACCTATATGAAGATTTCAGCAAGGGATCCTCTGAAATAAGTGTTTGATTTTATTATTAAAATGATTGTCCTGTTTTACTATTATTGTTGCAAATTTCTTATTGTGCCTAATTTACAAATTAAACTTTACTACAGATGTACATGTATATGAAAAAACATAGTATATACAGAGGTTGGTATTATCAGTAGTTTCAGGCATTCACTACAGTCTTTAAATCTATCACCTGAGAATAAGGGGGACTACTGTATATCAAAGCAAATGACTGATGATTAAGTTAACAATAAGAAGTAAGGGGTACGATGAACACTATAGGGTAACAGAGTGTTAATAAAGGTCTACTAAATATCATTTGAAAATGTCATATTTGTCACTAGTCTGAAGGTTACCTTTCTTAGTCTGAATTACAAATATTTGAATTTTATGAGAGTTTAGCTTACATCTATTCTAAATAAGACTGAAAGGTTAGAAACGAGTAACACAAATCAGATCTCCAGTTTTCAACTGAACATCTAATTCAAGATAACTGATTGGCTTTTATTAAGCCAAATTGCTCTTCTGAACCCTCATTCATGTGCAATCCATATGCTTGTTCATCAATAAATCAGGAACACATCTATTAGAAATTGGGAACACATCTATTCTTTTTAATCTCTTCAGATTCTCAAGTTACTTCTCTATTTAGTTCATTCTACTTGCTTCCAGTTTAACTGTGAATTACATTTACACTTTAGGGGTAAGATATCTAAATGCTTCCTATCTCCCAGCAGATTCGCATGGTTCAATTTGGGGTAGTGTCTCCGATTCTTCTTGACATTTTTTGTTTTATTTTGTTTTTGGTCTTTTGCCTCTTTCTCAATAACATCAGCTACCCAGACAGTGGTTTCCAGCTCTCAAGGTGTCCCACACTTATGCATTGTTTGTGGTGTTCTTCTTCTTCCAGAATTAAGATTAATAACTCTCCTAGCTTTAACAGTCTAGGTGAAAGTATTGGCTTCTTATGACCTCCTCTATGATCTTTCCAGGTAAAATTCTATTTTCTCTAGTTATTTCTCGAACTGCTTTCCTTCTCAGTGTTCTTCTCCATCATCACAGGTGTTTTCTTCTGAATTTGAAGCAATTCAGATAAGGTGCTATTTTTAAATTATCTATTTTTAATTATTGCAATGCTGAGAATAGTGAAATTATAAATACCCCAACCAAGAAAATGTTAAAATAAAGCTACTTGCCTCTAAACAACAAAATGTTGAAGCAATAGTTTCAAATGAGAAAATGGTAACAGAACTGAAAGATAATTTCTGCACTTTGGATGGAACAGCCAGCAGGGTTCACAAGCAATTTAGAAGTTGGGTGCATTTACTTATTAAACAAGTGGCTAACTGTATTGCCACTAATAGCTTAAAATGTCCAAATTAACTTGTTACATATGGTTGGCGAACATGTATTGATTCTTTAAAGTTTTATTCGTAAAATCAGTCCTGTATCTTCTAACCTGTCATAATTAATTCCATCTCCTTGCACTTTGAAATCTCCACAATAATAAGAACTTTATCAGGCTGGTGTTGGTATGAAGTGGCACAGCAAAACAAAATCCCAAGGGGAGCAGTCCACAGACTTCTCTTCTAAGCAGCAAAAAGCTGTTATCATTTTCTGAATTACAGGAACTATAAAAGGACACTCTACTCAAGCTGCCGCTGAATGTCACCTGAAAAGCAATCACAAAAGGGCTCTGTCTTGGCTTATCTCTGAGCTCTGTCACTACGGCAACCAGCAGGGAATAAGTATCTGTGGGTCTATGAATTTCAGAATCCCATAAAAGCCAGGGCTAAAAAGGCATGTGCAGCCTCTCAGAGATTGACTGCATTAATACATTAGCAAATACTGTGAAACACTGGATAAATGTCAGCAATTATGGAAAAAGCGTCTAATAACGATATTCGTTGCCTGTCAAACCCCCGTGAGGTTTGATATGTAACTGCCACTCAAAGCTGTCTGTAATTTTATCTCTTTTATACATCTGAATCCACAGCATTCAAATTTGTACTTTGAAAGTAATAAACTGTAAAGCAGTTCATTCCATGTTGATCACAATTGTCAACAAACATACAATAAAAGAACAAAAAGACTTTCATTGGCTCTGGGAACAATCAGTACCAGCAATCTCCTGTGGATATTTATTTTTTAAAAACTATATATATTCTACATGTAGAATATTAAACAATGTCATGATGCGAAGCAACAATTGATTTGACTGTTGATTAAGTCACCTTGGGTTCAAAAGGCTACTTACCATGCATAAATGTTCATTTTCAGCCTTCCTTTTGGGTGAGAAAATTTGTAAGACTTTACAGCCAATTAAACACAGTTGTAAGCACCCCTCTATTTTTGCACATCAAAAAAAAAAAGAATTTCTGTTACCTCCAAAACAGTTTATAATGCTATCTTCACAATCTTTCTCAAATACAGAATTATAGGTAATTGATTATGTTTAAAACCCAAGGGTCTAAAAGTACAACTTAATAAGCTGGACTACTACTTCAGCAATATTTCCATTGCTCAAGAAAATGACTTATTAAGAAATCGTATCACATATGTTACAGCTGTTCAAATGCAATAGACAGCATGTTAGCTTGCAAACACAAATGCCAGAGATTAAGTAGTGCACATATGTATTATAAACAACTTTCCATTTTTCAGTTATAAAATAGGGTTGGGTACAAGGCTGCCAACAAGACCTTTCTCTGTAACAAAAAAGAACCTGTTTGTGGTTTTTGTTTGTTTTAAAGAGCAGGGGTGTCTCTGGAGAAAGCAGTAATATGTATTAGAATACTGGGCTAGCAGTTATTAAATGCAATTTAGAGCCAATCACTGATTTTTCAGTGCCATGCTTAATATAATGCAAGAAACTTTTACTATTCATTTTACTCCAGAGGCATTCTGGGCACTTTAGAAACAAAGATGACTAAGACCTGTTTCCTGCCCTCAAGGAGTTCACAGTCTCATAGAAGGAAAATGATTACAAGCACTAGGCAGAAAAGGGTGGTTTCAAGCAACCCTAAGGAAAATTTAGGATAACAGATAGTAACTATATTCTACTGTATATAATTTCTATTAAAAATTAGTCACTTATAATCTACTACTTGGCTCAGATAAGATCATGTACAAGAAATACACTTTGTAAACTACAAATCACTATATACATGTCTCTTAATATACTCATCTACACTTTAAGTAACTGTGAGCACCAAAATAGAGTACTACTGCTATTTCCTGACACATTAATAATATGGCTACCATTCAAGAACACACAGACATACAAACCAAAGTACCATGATGAAAATTTGAAATTCACTTATGTTCAAAGACATACTGCCTACCTAATAAAGGAAGATAAAGGCACATTTTTGCTTGTTTCTACCTTTTACTGAATAATTGTAAACCTTCACATTCAGTTTAATCACATGAAGACAAAGAAAAACTCAGCCTAATTTCTCTACTTTCCCTCTACAACTTGAAATGCAAAGAATCTAAATTATTTTTAGCACACTGTCCTACTCCAGAGTAATCTGGTTGTTGTTTTGTTTTGTTTCTTGAGACCATGTCTCACTCTGTCACCCAGGCTGGAGTGCAGTGTCATGATCATGGCTCACTGAAGCCTTGACTTCCCAGGCTCCAGCAATCCTCCCACCTCAGCCTCCTGAGTAGCTGCGACCACGGGTGCATGCCACTATACCCAACTAATTTTTGTATTTTTGATAGAGATGGAGTTTCACCATGTTGCCCAGGCTTGTCTCGAACTGCTGAGCTCAGGCTGGTCTCAAACCGCTAAGCTCAAGCAAACCACCCACCCTGACTGAAAACTCAATTGTATAGATGCCATTTAGCTCACTCATCTGGCCTTACTGACTCCTTGATGTCATGCCTGGCCTTTGCCATTGGTTTCTTAGATTAGCGCAGAGGTAAAGATAATTGCTCAACTGATAAATAGAAATTTAGGTCAGCTACTAGGGGAATAGACTAAATACTTTGGAAAGCCATCCATGCCTCTTGGTATTATAATTCCCAAACCTCAATAAAGGCATATGGTTTGGCCAGTGTAAATGCAATTATAGGATAAATTGGACTGGATATTTTAAAACTGGAACTGTTCTGAGAAGCAAGGACATATAAGAAATGGCATGGTACAAGAGAAAGCAAAAGGGAGGGGAGACAGATTTGATGTTGAATCCTGGTTCTGTACTTTGTCTTCTCAGTTAAGGTCTCAGATCAACATACTCATCCTAAATCCACTAATTAAAAATAAAACTGATTGAGGTCTAGTTATCTACAGTAAAATGCACCCATTTTAAAGCATATTTAGAAGAGTTTTTATATATCTATACAATCTTGTAACCACTAGTATAATTTTCAAATTATAGAAAATTTCCATCACTTCTCAAAATTTCCTTGTGTTTTCTAGTCAACTACCATACCTGATCTGAGGCAAACACCATGAAATTTGTATTTTCTCTTAGTTTGGGGCGTGTCCTTTTTTTTTTTTTTTTTTTTTTTTTGAGACAGAGTCTCCTCTATCATCCTGGCTTGAGTATAGTGGTGCGATCTCAGCTCACTGCAATCTATGCCTCCCGGGCTCAAGCGATTCTCCTGCCTCAGCCTCCTGAGCAGCTAGGACTACTATACTTTTAGTAGAGAGGGGATTTCACCATGTTGGCCAGGCTAGTCTTGAACTACTGACCTCAGGTGATCCACCTGCCTTGGCCTCCCAAAGTGCTGGGATTACAGGCGTGAGCCACCGCGCCTGGCCTTGTTTTTATTTTTAATCCTGTCTTTTGAAAAGCAAAAGTTGCCAATTGTAATGAAGTCCAATTTATCCATTTTTTTTCCTCTTAGGAGCTTTTAGTGTCCTCTCTCAGAAATTTTTTCCTATCCCAAGATTTTCTCCTATATTTTCTCCAACAAGTTTAATAGTTGTAGCTTTTGCATTTAAGTCATCTCTGATCTAAGATAAATTTGTGTATGGCATAAGGTAAAAGTTGAAGTTATCTATCTTTACTGATATCCAGTTGCCTCATCGCCATTTGTTAAATAAAGAACAAACTGTCTCCACCGCATTACTTTGTTATCTTTGCACAAAACCAATTAACAGCACATACATATGGATCTATTCCTGAACACTCTATTTTACCTATTGATTTATGTCTGTCTTTACACAAATATCACATTGTATTGAATATTATAGTAATATTTTTTGAAATCAGGGAGTGTAAGTCTTCCAATTTTGTTCTTTTTGAAAACTATTTTAGGCTGGGCATGGTGGCTCACATCTGTAATCCCAGCACCTTGGGAGGCCAAGGCAGGTGGATCACCTGAGGTCAGGAGTACGAGACCAGCCCAATAAACATGGTAAAACCCCATTTCTACTAAAAAAAAAAAAAAAAAAAAAATACAAAAATTAGCCAGGTATGGTGGCAGGCACCTGTAATCCCAGCTACTCGGGAGGCTGAGGCAGGAGAATCGCTTGAACTTGGGAGGTGGAAGTTGCAGTGAGCCAAGATCGCGCCATTGCACTCCAGCCTAGGTGACAGAGCAAGACTCCGTCTCAAAAAAAGAAAACAAAAAAAAAAACCCAGAAAATTGTTTTAGGAACACTAGCTCTTTCACATTTCCATACAATTTTTGGAATTAATTTGCCAATTTCTATGAAAAATGCTATTGAGATTTTGATTGGCATTGCAGTGAATCCATAGCTGTCTGGGAGGAGGTACTGCCTTAAAAATACTGAATGTAGGCCAGGCTCTGTGACTCACTCTGTGGCTCACACATATATATATGTGTGTGTGTGTGTGTGTGTGTGTGTGTGTGCGTGTGCATATGTGTGTATACATATATACACATATATATATAGTAATGAAGTCCAATTTACCCATTTTTTCCCTCTTATAAGCTTTTAGTGTCCTCTCTCAGAAATTTTTTCCTATCCCAAGATTTTCTCCTATATTTTCCCCAAGTTTAATAGTTGTAGCTTTTGCATTTAAGTCATCTCTGATCTAAGATAAATTTGTGTATATATATATATACACCAACACATGATCATGGTAGCTCATTCCATGTCTTAATTTTGTTAATTTCTCTCCAATTATTTGCCATTTTCAATGTATAGATCTTATAAATATTTTATTAATGTATCCTTAAATATTTCATGTTTTTGGATAGAATTGCGAGTCATATAAGTTTTCTAAAACCCATTTCAAAATGTTGTTTGCTATTATATTGTAACACAATTGATTTTTGTATATTGATCTCATGGCCCATGACCTTGCTAATTTCACTTGTCACATCTATTAGCTTTTTGGTGGATTATGTTGGATCTACCAAGAAACAAACTACTAAATATTTTGTAAAACAAAAAAAGTTTTATTTCCTCCTTTCTAATCTGCATGTGTTTTCTTTCCTCCTAACCTTACTGTACTAAGACTAGCAGTATAACATTGAATAGAACTTGCGCAAGTGAACATCCTTACATCATTTCCAATCTTAGAGTGAAAGTATTCCCCCATTAAATACGGTAGGTATTGCTTTTTCTTTTTCTTTTTCTTTTTTTTTTTTTTTTTGAGATGGAGTCACGCTCTGTTGCTCAGGCTGGAGTGCAGTGGCGCAATCTCCGCTCACTGCAACTTCTGCCTCATGGGTTCAAGCAATTCTCTGCCTCAGCCTCCTGAGTAGCTGAGATTACAGACGCCCACCACCATGCCCAGCTAATTTTTTTGTATTTTTAGTAGAGACAGGGTTTCACCATCTTGGCCAGGTTGGTGTTGAACTCCTGACATTGTGATCCACCCGCCTTGGCTTCCCAAAGTGCTGGGATTACAGGCATGAGCCACCACGCCCAGCCTAGCTATTGCTTTTTCATAGAGTCCTTCTATCAGGCTGGGGAAATTCTTCTCTATTCCCAGTTTGCTAAGTTAGTTTGCTTTTGCTTTGAAAAAAAACTTATTTTTATGAAAGACTCATTTACATATATAAAATACACCAATATTCCAGTTGCACAATATTCCAATAAGCACAAACACAATTCTAATACACACATTTCTATGACTCCCAAAAGTTTCTTTGTGTCCCTATTGGAGTCAGTCTCCTCCATTACTCCTTGGCAACCCACTGACTGGATTTCTGTAAGTTATAGCTTTGGTTTTTCCACATTTCATAAATGTGGAATCACACAGTGATGTAGTCTTTGTGCCTGTCATCATTAACTTAAGTATTGTATCTATCAGTAGTTTGCTGCTTTTCATTTGGAGTAGCATTCCATTGTATAGATATATCACAATTTGCTTATCATTCACTAGTTGACGGACATTTGGGTTGCATCTGGGTTTTGTCTACTATAAATAAAGCTCCAATAAAAATTCAAGTACAAATCTTTGTGAGAACATGTTTTCATTCCCCTTTGGAAAATATATAAGAGTTGAGATTGTATGTTAAGTGTCTACTTAATTTTCTAAGCAGCTGCCGCTGTTTTCCAGAGTGGCTATACTACTTTGCCTTCCTACCTTGCTGATAGATTTTTATCATGAATGTATGCTAAATTTTATTAAATGCTTTTCCAGGACCTTATTCACCTGATTGTATATGTTTTCTTAGTTTTGTTAATGAAATTAGTTACATTGGTTGATGTTCCAATGTTGCACCATCCACGTACTCCTGAGATAAATCCCAATGATGATGCATAACTCTTTTTGTTCTTTTTTTTTGTCTTCTTTTTCCCATCCTTCCCTCTTCTTTCTTTTTTAAGTAACAGCTTTGGCTGGGCGCGGTGGCTAACGCCTGTAATCCCAGCACTTTGGGAGGCCAAGGCGGGTGGATCACAAGGTCAGGAGTTCAAGACCAGCCTGACCAATATGGTGAAACCCTGTCTCTACTAAAAATACAAAAATTAGCCGGGCATGGTGGCATGCACCTGTAGTCCCAGCTACTCAGGAGGCTGAGTCAGAAGAATCGCTTAAACCTGGGAGGAGGAGGTTGCAGTGAGCCGAAATCATGCCACTGCACTCCAGCCTGGGTGACAGAGCAAGACTCGATCTCAAAAAAAAAAAAAAAAAAAGTAACAGCTTTGTTGTTATTTGTTGTTATATGGTACCATACCATATAACATAAAATTCACCCTTTTAAAATGTATTATTCATGTACTATTCTTTTTATTTACTGTGAAATTCAATTTGGTAAAATGTGTTAAAATTTTTAACATGTATTTCATAAAGGATATTGGTCTGTAGCTTTTTGGGTTTTTTCCCCAATGTCTCGGACCAATTTTGGTATAAATGTAACAGCAGCCTCATAAAATGAGTTGGAAAAGAATATGAAGAGGATTAGAATTAGTTTACCTTAAATATCTGGTAGTGTTTGGCAATGTAATAAGCTGGTCCTGAAGTTTTTGTTGTGGCAAGTTTTTTTTTTTTTTTGAGACAGAGTCTCGCTCTGTCGCCCAGGCTGGAGTGCAGTGGTGCGATCTCGGCTCACTGCAAGCTCCGCCTCCCAGGTTCACGCCATTCTCCTGCCCCAGCCTCCTGAGTAGCTGGGACTACAGGCGCCCACCACCATACCCAGCTACTTTTTTTTGTATTTTTAGTAGAGACAAGGTTTCACCGTGTTAGCCAGGATGGTCTCGATCTCCTGACCTTGTGATCCACCCATGTTATGGCAGGATTTTTAATTGCAAGTTCAATTTTTAAAATTATATTTGGGCTTTTCTAGTTTTCTATTTCTCTTGGATCAATTTGGTAATTTTAACCTTTCAAGCAACTTGTCCATTTCAGCCTAGTGTTGCAGAATTTATCGGCCCAAAGTCATTCACATTTCCTTTTCATCTTTTAACTGTCTGTATGATTTGTAATGATGTCCTCTTATTAATTACTGGCACTGTTAATTCATATCTAGTCTCTTTTTCTCTTGATCAGTCTAGCTAGGAGTTTATCAGCTGATTTTTTTTTTTTTTTTTTTTTTTGAGACTGGGTCTCACTCTGTCGCCAGGCTGGAGTGCAGTGGCACCATCTCGGCTCACTGCAACCTCTGCCTCTGGGGTTCAAGCAATTCTCCTGCCTCAGCCTCCTGAGTAGCTGGGACTACATGTGCGCACCACCATGCCCAGCTAATTTTTGTATTTTTAGTAGAGATGGGGTTTTACAATGTTGGCCAGGATGGTCTCGATCTCTTGACCTCATGATCCACCTGCCTCAGCCTCCTAAAGTGCTGGGATTACAGGTGTGAGCCATCACACCTGGCCTAATTGATCTTTTCAAAGAGTCAGCATTTGGTTTCAATAATTTTTCCTAATTTGTCTTTTATTTCATTGATTTTTTCTTATCTTTACTATGTCATTTAATCTACTTGGATTTAATTTGCTCTTCTTTTTCTATCTTCTTCAGGTAGATGATTATTTCATTGACATTGGACCGCCTTTTAAATATAAGCATTTAAACTATGAATTCTCCTCTAAGCACTGTTTAACTGAATCCCACAAATTTAATATGCTATGTTTTCATTTTAATTTAGTTTAAAATGTTACCAATCTTTTCTGATTTCTTCTTTGACTCATGAATTTAAAAAAATAGTATGTTTTTTATTTCAAATATTTGAAGAGCTTCAGGCCACTGTGTTAGTGATACATAATTTAATTATGTTTGGTTAGTGATAATATTAATTACAATCATCTAATGTGTATTGAGACAATAAATAAATATTTATGGTCCAGGTTATAGTCTATTTTTGTAAATGCATCATGCACACTTGAAAGGAATATGTATCCTGCTATTATTGGGTGAAGTGTCTACAAATTTAAATTAGGCAAAGTTGATTAATCATGTTGGCCAAATCTACATTCTTACCTATCATTTTTCTGTAAACCACTGAGAAAGGAAAATGAAATCTCTACCTGTGTGTCAGCTTTGGCTTTGCGTATTTTGAAACTGTTACCAGGCACATACACATTTAGGATCATTCTGTCTTCTGGATGAAATGACCTTTTAATTATTACAGAATCTCTTTTTTTAGTCCTGATAATATTCCTTGTTCTGGCCAGGCGCGGGGGCTCATGCTTGTAATCCTAGCATTTTGGGAGGCCAAGACAGGTGGATAGCCTGAGATCAGGAGTTCAACACCACCCTGGGCAACATGGTGAAACCCCATCTCTACTGAAATACAAAAAATCAACCAGGCATGGTGGCGGGTGCCCGTAATCCCAGCTACTCATGAGGCTGAGGCACGAGAATTGCTTGAACCCTGGAGGCGGAGGTTGCAGTGAGCCAAGACTGTGCCACTGCACTTCAGCCTGGGCAACAAAGTGACACTTTGTCTCAGAAAAAAAAAAAAAAAAAAATCCTTGTTCTGTATCTTTTCTGATGTCACAGTCATCCCAAATTTCTTATGTTTAGTGTTTGGATGGCAAATATTTTTATGCTTGTTTAGTGGAAGAATGTTAAAAGTAGATCAACCTATTGTTCTCATTTAAAATATAATTCTTGGGCCAGGCACGGTGGCTCACACCTGTAATCCCAGCACTTTGGGAGGCCGACGCGGGGGGATCACAAAGTCAGGAGTTTGAGACCAGCTTGGCCAATACGGTGAAACCCCGTCTCTACTAAAAATACAAAAATTAGCCAGGCGTAGGGGCATATGCCTGTAATCCCAGCTACTCAGGAGGCTGAGGCAGAAGAGTCACTTGAACCCGGGAGGCAGAGGTTGCAGTGAGCCAAGATCACGCCACTGCACTCCAGCCTGGGCGACAGAGTGAGACTCCATCTAAAAAATAATAATAATAAAATAAAATAAAATTCTTGTAGTCAGTTGA
This sequence comes from Homo sapiens, assembly GCF_000001405.40. Taxonomy (NCBI): domain Eukaryota; kingdom Metazoa; phylum Chordata; class Mammalia; order Primates; family Hominidae; genus Homo; species Homo sapiens. The sequence goes on from NC_000001.11 coordinate 50,642,695, forward strand.
ATCTTGTTTTTTAAAGTTCATTTTTAATAATCTTTTCCTTTTAATGTAATTCATACTTACTGTAATTATCAATATGGTTAGATTTAAACCATATTGCTGTTTGTATTTATCCCATCTGTTCTCTGTTCCCTTTTTTTCTGTTTTCTTTTTTGTTGTTGTTGTTTGAGACAGAGTCTCATTCTGTTGCCCAGGTTAGAGTTCAATGGCACGATCTTGGCTCCCTGCAACCTCTGCCTCCCAGGTTCAAGCGATTTTCCTGCCTCAGCCTCCCAAGTAGCTGGGATTACAGGCACCTGCCATCATGCCTGGCTAATTTTTGTAGACAGGGTTTCACCATGTTGGCCAGGCTGGTCTTGAACTCCTGACCTCAGGTGATCCGCCCGCCTCGGCCTCCCAAAGTGCTGGGATTACAGGCATGAGCCACCACGCCTGGCCTTTTCTCTGTTTTATTTGTACTTTTTTCAGCATTGCGTTTTATCTCTTTTAATGGATTTTTAGCTATATTTCTTTTTCTTTCTTTCTTTTGTGGCTGCTGTAAGGTTTACAACATGCATTATTAACCTAACAGATTACCTTTGATTAACAGTATACAACTTCATTTATAATGTAGGATCACTAATGGTACACTTCCATTCTGGTTTTTTTTTTGTGTGCTACTGTTCTTAAACATTTTACTTCTACATGTTAAAAATTCCATATTGCTTATTAATTTTTTTCCTAAAATTTATCTTTTAATGGGAACTGTTTAATGGGAACAGTTTCTATTGCTGTATCTTTAAATTCACTGATCTTTTCTTGGGCATTGTCTAAGCTGTTATTTATCCCATCCAGTAAAATTTGTACTTCAGATAGATACTATATTATTTATCTCTAGAAGTGTTACTTTGTTCTTTTAAAAAAAATTTTTCTTTTATTTGAGACACAGTCTCACTCTGTCACCCAGGCTAGAGTGCAGTGGCACGATCTCAGCTCACAGCAACCTCCGCCTCCCAGATTCAAGCAATTCTCCTGCCTCAGTGTCCTGAGTAGTTGGGATTACAAGCATGCACCACCATGCCTGGCTAATTTTTGTAGTTTTAGTAGAGCTGGGGTTTCGCCATGTTGGCCAGGCTGGTCTCAAACTCCAGAGCTCAAGTGATCCTCCCGCCTCAGCTTCCCAAAGTGCTGGGATTACAGACAAGAGCCATCGCTGCCCCCACTCCCACCCTGCCATGATACTTTGTTCTCTTTTATATATTTTATTATTTCCTCTTATGTTTTCACTTAAGTCCTTGAGCACTTTCATAGCATTTATAAAAGCTACTTTAAAGTCCATGTCTGCCAATTTCATTATCTAAGTAACTTCCATGTCTGTTTCTTTTGACTGACTTCTTTTCTGGTTATGGGTCAGATTTTCCTGCTTGTTCGTATGTGCAGTAACTTTTAATTGGATGCTGGACTTTGTTTTTAGAGGCAGTTACCTATTAATCAGCTTATTCCTTATTCAGGCTTCTTTTTAAGCTTTTAAAAAGTCCTGGAGTAGCCTTCATTCTAGGGCCAATTTATCCACTCCACTAAGGTGTTAACTCTTCTGAAGATAGCTACTGAATGCCCTGTGTATTCACTGAGGTGTCTCTACAATGTGTAGTTGGAAGAAACTTGAAGCAGTTTTAGTTTTGTGTAAACTCTGGGGATTGTTTACCTTATAGCTCCAGTTAACTACTCTTTTTCCTAACAATTTCTCTTTGCTTAGCCTTCTGGATTTTCACCCTATGCATGCACAGAGACTGGTATTCAGCTAAAGACTTGGGGAACCCCATGCAGATTTCTGGAGATTTTTCTCTGCTGGTAGTCTGCTTTGCAAAATATAGCCGCTGGAGCCTCCCAAAACTCCAATCTCTGTCCCTTCAACTCAGCGAAATTACCAAGTTCTGTTTTACTTTCCCTTTCCTGCTATGGGATCCAGAAGTTGCCTCCAGGCAGAATTTAAGACTCTCATAGAACTCTTGTTTCCTTCTTCAGAGTCCTGTTGGCTAATATCTGAAAACAGTTGTTTCATGTATTTTATCCTGTCTTGCAGTTGTTTACAGAGAGGGGGAAAATCCCAAAGCAGTTATCCCTTCATGGGCAGAAGCAGCAGTCTACAGGTTTGGGATTTTAATAAACTGAAATCAAGACCCACAGCATCAGGTCTTAGTGCTTGTAAGTTTCCAACTGGGGCTGTCTTGCTTCCATGTGTTCTTCTTCATATTTACTGAGCAAACATTTCCCTTGAGTGCTTCATCCACATTCCCAAACTTCTCACTCTTGTTCAGAATAGAATTCATTTCACAACTTTTCTTTTCTTTTAAACCCAAACTTTCTTCTACTGCTTTCAAAGCTGTTCTTTCCATCTGTTTAGTCTTTGCCTGTGTTATTTGCAAAAGACTCTATATGTTGACAAGGGCAATGAACCCTCTGAAGCTACTGAGTCTCACCACCATCAGAAGCAACATTATCCATGACCTTCCCAAATAATGAAAAAGTCAGTGAAAATGTCCAAAGATTGCCTGAATCTGTCTGCCCTAGGACAGGCTAACAAAGTAATTTAAATAGCATAAGATGACCCTGAAGCTATTCAAAGAATGCTTCTGATTCTGCATGTGTATGCAATATAAAGAAGGTGCTTACTCAAGGGAAAGAGAGTTAATGTTTGTTGAATGCCTACTAAATGCCAGACATTACACCAGGGGTTGGCAAACTTTCTCCGTAAAGGGCCAGACAGTAGATATTTCAGGTTTTGTGGGCCACATGGTCTTTGTTTGCAACTATATATCCCTGCTTATAGTGTGACAGCAGCTGTGGCACAGTACATTAAGAAATCAATGTGGCCAGGCGCTATGGCTCATGCCTATAATCCCAGCATTTGGGGAGGCCGAAGGCGGGGAGAACCTGAGGTCAGGAGTTTGAGACCAGCCTGGCCAACATGGTGAAACCCCGTCTCTACTAAAAATACAAAAATTAGCCAGGCGTGGTGGCACCTGCCTGTAGTCCCAGCTACTCTACTCGGGAGGCTGAGGAAGGAGAATCTCTTGAACCCAGGAGGCGGAGGTTGCGGTGAGCTGAGATCACGCCACTGCAGTCCAGCCTGGGGGACAGAGTGAGACTCCGTCTAAAAAAAGAAAAAAAAAAGGAAGAAAAAAAATAAATCGGTGTGAATGTGTCCCAAGAAAATACTATTGACAAAAACAGATGCTGAGTGAGATTTGGGCTCACAGTCATAACTGTCAACCCCTGCATTATATTATGTGCTTTACATATTAGATATAATTGTATGAAACTTCTAATCTGCAACCATTTTTGTCCCTAAAAAATGGCAACTTCATATGGTCCCACCTAATAATATGTTAACCCATGTAATCTTCACAATAGGTTTTCAAGTGTGTTAATATCATCTCCATTTTGTAGATAAAGAAACTGAAGCTCAAACATTAAGTAACATCTAAATAATAGTAATGTTAGGATTCAACAAACTTGGACTGGTTTGCTCAATTGCATTCTCCTCCACCTCCATTTCCTCTGCCTCCCACCCATACATATATACACACACACACATTGGTAAAAATCGGCTCACAATGTAGCTCTGCACACTCCTAAATCTGTTATTCTACTTGCTGCTATAAAATGCTTAGTTTTGATAACTTAATTTTTATTAGAAATAAATGATTCTCAAAATGTTTATCCAATTACTATACTCATACAAATCGATCCTTTAGTTGTTTATTGCCATAGATGTCAACTTTGTGGAGCACTGAACAATTTAAATAAATGAATGCAATTTAAATAAATGCCTAAAACACTCTTTGATATAAATGTGAAGACATTTCTTACTTCCAATGCTTATAATTTACAAAAGGAGGAATACAAGTATACAAATTAAAACATAATCAAATGTCCCTTTCACTGAGAAGTCATTTTTTCACTACCACTAACTGTTAGCAAAATTGGTTGTTCCCTCTTCTATGATCCCATTGCATTTATATACTTCAGTTGTCATTGTTTATATATGTCTCCCACCAAACTCATCAATCTCTGAGAAGCAAGATCTTATCATTGCAACTTTAAGGGCCAGCACAGTTACTGGCCTGTAAGAGTTGTTAAAGCGAACTAAATATGATCTCAGAAGGACTCTATTTCTTCTTCTTTCTTTTGAGACATAGTCTCGCTCTGTTACCCAGGCTGGAGTACAGTGGCATGCTCTTGGCTCACTGCAACCTCCGCCTCCTAGGTTCAAGCAATTCTTGTGTCTCAGCCTCCTGAGTGTCTGGGATCACATGTGTGAGCCACCACGCCCAGCTAATTTTTTTTGTATTTTTAGTAGAGACAGGGTTTCACCATGTTGGCCAGGCTGGTCTCAAACTCCTGGTCTCAAGCAATCCACCTGCCTCAGCCTCCCAAACCGCTGGGAGTATAGGCATGAGCCACCATGCCCAGCCTAGGGCTCCGGACTTCTACATTTGAGTCCTGGTGGAGGAAGCTTAACCTAACTTAATAGGTAGACAAGACTGAAAACCTAACTTATGAGCATATGCCTATAATAATAGTTAAGTCTTGGCCAATCTCAGCAGCCATTCTTCAACCACTGATACACTGCTAAATGTTCAAACTGTTTCCAAATAAGGCAAATGCCAACCTGTAACCAATACAGCTGTTTCTGTACCTCGCTTCTTTCTGTACGTCACTTTCCTTTTTTTGTCTATAAATTTGTTCTAACCACGAGGCATTCCTGGAGTCTCTCTGAATCTGCTATGATTCTGGAGGCTGCCAATTTGCGAATCATTTTTTTTTCTTGTTCAATTAAACTCTGTTAAATTTAATTTGTCTGAAGTTTTCTTTTAACAGAGTTGTTCCACAAATGTCAAGTGAATGAATAGATAGATTAAAACAATAAATAAAACACAGTAATAGCCAAAAGTCAACCATGTTAAGGCATTCTTTCTAGTACATACTACTTCAGTCTTCAAAATAAACCTAGCAGTAAGTATTCTTGTAACTACTGACTCTTTAATCTTCACAATAACTCTACGAGTTATTGTTCGACAGTTACGGAGACTGAGATCCATAGACATTAAGTTGCTTGTGGTGACCCAGATGAAGCCAGAGAGGAGGAAGGAAGGGAGAAATGAAGGAAACAAATAACAAAATAAGAAAAAAGTGAAAAAAACTTAAGTAGAAGAAGAGAACTATAAATGCATTTCTAAGAGGGTTGGAGAAGGCAGCACGGGAAGAAGGGCATAGGCAGGGTTTCTCAAAGAAAAGGTCTTGGCTGGGCGCGGTGGCTCACGCCTCCAATCCTGGCACTTTGGGAGGCCGAGGCAGGTGGATAACCTGAGGTCAGGAGTTAGAGACCAGCCTGGCCGACATAGTGAAACCCCGTCTCTACTAATAATACAAAAATTAGCTAGGCACAGTGGCACACGCCTGTAATCCCAGCTATGAGGAGGCTGAGGCAGAAGAATTGCTCGAACCCCGGAGACAGAGGTTGCAGTGAGCCGAGATCGTGCCATTGCACTCCAGCCTGGGTGACAAGAGTGAAACTCCGTCTCAAAACAAAACAAAACAAAACAAAACAAAAAAACAAAAAGGTCTTCAAGGAAGGAGATAATTGTTGTAGGTATTCTAGGTGGAAGGAAGAGTATGATTAAATGACAGAGTGGGAGAGTACCAAGTATATTCGAAAAATAGTAAGATAAGTATTTAGCTAAAGCTGAGACACATATGGTGTAATATTCAATCATTCATTCAACAAATATTTATCAAGTATTTACTCAGAGCCTGTATGGGAAAACAAACCTGGAAGGGAAGTTTCAGACTAAAGAATGAAGGGTTTTGAATGCCAGCATAAAAATCTGTACATAAAGGAGCCATTGAAAATAAGTAAGCAAGGCTGAATGTGATTCATGTTGTACTTCTATTTAGAAATATTAACTTTGGCTGGGCGCGGTGGCTCATGCCTGCAATCCCAGCACTTTGGGAAGCCGAGGTAGGCGGATCACCTGAGGTAGGAAGTTCAAGACCAGCCTGACCAACATGGAGAAGCCCCAGCTCTACTAAAAATATAAAATCAGCTGGGTGTGGTGGCGCATGCCTGTAATCCCAGCTACTCGGGAAGCTGAGGTAGGAGAATCACTTGAACCCAGGAGGCGGAGGTTGCGGTGAGCCAAGATCGTGCCATTGCACTCCAGCCTGGGTAACAAGAGCGAAACTCCATCTCAAAAGTTAGGGGGCCTGGCCCTAATTGTTTGTAACTTTAGTAGAGACAGGTTTCAATACGTTGGCCAGGCTGGTCTCGAACTCCTGACCTCGTGATCCGTCTGCCTTGGCCTCCCAAAGTGCTGGGATTACAGGTGTGAGCCACCGTGTCCAGCCTTCAGATTCATTTCTATTTAAGAGTGGGGTGGGGAGAGGGCTGTGTGCAGTTTTCATTTTATGTATTTATTCATTTTAATTTTTTTTTTTTTAGACAGAGTTTTGCTCTTGTTGCCCAGGCTGGAGTGCAATGGCGCAATCTCTCACTGCAACCTCCGCCTTCCGGGTTCAAGCAATTCTCTTGCCTCAGCCTCACAAGTAGCTGGGATTACAGGCATGCGCCACACACCTGGCTAATTTTGTATTTTCAGTAGAGATGGGGTTTCTCCATGTTGGTCAGGATGGTCTTGAACTCCTGACCTCAGGTGATCCACCCATCTTGGCCTCCCAAAGTGCTGGATTACAGGTGTGAGCCATTGTGCCTGGCTCTTTTTATTTTATATAAAAGCCACTGTGTAATGGTTTTACTTGTAAATTATTTCACATTCTCAATGTGAAAATATTTAATAAGTAGCTTTCTGAATCCTAACACACGCCCAAAGAGCTTTGATTCTAAAATTCCTAGTTTCTCAATTCTGAGTGAATATTTTGTGGCCAATGACAGAAATACAGAAGAGCATTAGTAATCAAGAAAGAAAAGTCTGGGCACAGTGCCTCATGCCTGTAATCCCAGCACTTTGACAGGCCGAGGCAGGTGGATCACAAGGTCAGGAGTTCAAGACCAGCCTGGCCAACTTATGAAACCGCGTCTCTACTAAAACTACAAAAAAAAAAAAAAAAGAAAAAGAAAAAAATTAGCTGGGTATGATGGCACGTGCCTGTAGTCCTAGCTACTCGGGAGGCTGAGGAGGGACAATTGCTTGAACCTGGGAGGTGGAGGTTGCAGTGAGCCAAGACCATGCCATTGCATTCTAGCCTGGGGGTGACAGAGTAAGACTCCGTCAAAGAGAGAGAGAGAGAAAGCACAATAATAAAGTATTAAGCTGGGCACGGTGGCTCATGCCTGTAATCCCAGCACTCTGGGAGGCCGAGGTGGGCGGATCACCTGAGGTCGGGAGTTCGAGACCAGCCTGACTAACATGGAGAAACCCCATGTCTACTAAAAATACAAAATTAGCCGGGCGTGGTGGTGCATGCCTGTAATCCCAGCTACTCGGGAGGCTGAGGCAGGAGAATCGTTTGAATCCGGAAAGCAGAGGCTGCGGTGAGCCGGGATCACACCATTGCACTCCAGCCTGTGCAACAAGAGCGAAACTCTGTCTCAAAAAAAAAAAAAAAAAAAAAGTAATAAAACTGAAAGAGTTGGCCGGGCACAGTGGCTTAGGCTTGTAATCCCAGCACTTTGGGAGGCCGAGGTGAGGATCACTTGAGGCCAAGAGTTCGAGGCCAAAAGTTCAAGACCAGCCTGGCCAACACAGCGAAACCCTGTCTCTACTAAAAATACAAAAATGAGCTGGGCATGGTGGTATACGCCTGTAATCCCAGCTACTTGGGATGCTGAGGCATAAGAATCACTTGAACCTGGGAGGCAGAGGTTGCAGTCAGCTGAGATCTCACCACCGCACTCCACCCTGGGTGACAGAGCAAGACTGTCTCAAAAAAATATATAAATAAAAATAAAAACAAAAAACTGAAAGAGTTTTCTTTGTATAAGCATTATTAAATCCAGGAATTTAAAAAGAACTACATGTATTCATATTGTCTGCATTGTAATAAGGTATCTAAACATAATTCACAGTGTTAAAATTATTTCTCCTATCTAGAAACCAAGAGCTTCCTTGTTAAAGTGTAAAATGAGATTTTGCCTACTTGTAACTCCTTGTTCTCACAGCTGAACTGTCACAGCATGAAAACATTTTCCTACTGGTAAAGCTTTAGATACCTATTTCCCTGATCAAAGAGTACAAAAGGAACGGAGTTACTGACAATTCATACAGTATCCCACACCCTATTCGAGTACAACCACAAGCAAAGAAAATACGTTAACTCTGAAGGGAGATGGGCAACAATGTTGTAAATGAGTGTTGACTTCACTGAGTAACCTGAAAATGCCCAAGACTGAAGTCTATTAGGTTCATAAGAGACTCAAGATTATAAAAGAATTGATTACAAGAGGTCTATTTCTTTCTCCTGTTGGGTGAGTCAAAGGTTAATGAGAAGTATACTGAACAAAACATCTCTTGTGTTACTGCAAAGTATTTCTCATGCAGGATAAAAATGTAAGTGAAAAAGTATTTTAATCTAGTTAATTAACTTCTTTTTTAAAAAAATAGCTTCACTGAGGCATAATTTATATGCCATAAAATTCACTCATTTTAAATGTTCAATTATTTTTTAAAACTTTAGAGATGTGCAACCTTTACCACAATCTAATTTTTAGAACATTTTCATCACCCCAAATCCATTAATTTCTTGATCTATGGTATTTTCATAAATTCACAGAATCCAATGATATCTAAGGCTACTGTATATTTAAAGCCACACAAATTTCTTCAACTGAGCAATAAAAGTACAAAATGACCTCACTTTTAATGACCTTTATAACCAATCCTCTACTCTGGCACTAGGAAGCAAATGTTCAGGTGCTTTCTCTGAAAGTTAAACCATTCTAAGTATTAAGTTATGGCACACTGTCTTGGAAAGAAATTAATTATATTTTTGTTGGTAACACATTTCAGGCTGTTTACACAGCTGACATTTCTCAGCTGTACCCAATTCATGCCCTAAGCTGTGAGGACTATTTTGTTTTGTAGCAGATGCCTCCACTTGAATGATTTCAGTAAGTATAAAAACACCACCGCCTGCAACAAATATAGACTACAAGTACCAGTTTTATGAGTTTTTATACTCCTAATGAAAAAGGTTTTACGACATATTATTTGGCCAGGATCTCCTCAGAATACTAGTTATAAGCCATTTTTGGCTAAATTCAAGCACTGGAGCTAGTGAATCTGCTGTGGCATCAGTTAAAAGCAGCCTGGCCCTAAACATCTTTGTTGTATCAAATCATGCAAGCTCAAGGCAACACCCTGCCAATGCCGCAACATTTGCTCTGGGGAGGTGTGGGCAGGCACCACTTCACAGGTTCTGGGACAAGGTGCAAATGGCAATAATGAGGCTAAAAGAATCAAGCCTCTTAATAGGGATTCCCTCTTGTGTTTGCTGTGACTTAAGAGCACCAAGTAGTATTACAGTCTTGGAAACAAACAGTTTTAGCTGCTTTCCATATTTTCCTATAGTAATTAGACTGCATGACAACTCTTTGGCAAAAAATTAAATGTTATAAAAACCATTAAAACATGGGTCTCATAAAAGACCATGCCAACTCAATTCAATGAATTAGCACCTAAAATGTATAAGGCACTATTTTACAGGCAGAAGAATTGATCATATTTCATCGACTTTGCCTATCATTCTTGGAACTTGTACCTGATAAGCCAATTTCAGTCTGGTTTCTACAAGGGTGGGGTGCAAAAGCAGTTGGCTTTTCCAACCCTGTGAAGCCCCACATTTCCAGAGTTTCTCTATTATCTTATGTCCCTGCTCTTAAACAAGACAACTATTTTTGCTTTAAACTTTTTATTATGAAAATTTTCAAATATATACAAAAGTTGAGAGAACAGTATAATAAACCCAATATATGTATCACCTAGATTCAACAATGATTGATAGATGCCTAATCTAAATTAGCTCTATCCTCACTCACTCTGCCACACATAGGTTATTCTGAAGCAAGTCTCAGACATCACTTCATTTCTTTAAACCAGCCAATTCTTGCCTGTAATTGTAATCTGTAATTACAATAACTTTTTTTGCAGTTATCTTAATTATAATGTCGACTCATTTACTGAGTGTCTACTATGAGCCAGGTACTGTATTTATATTATCACTTATCTTCATAATAGTTCTGCAAATTAGTGACAAAATTAAAGCTCAGAGAATTTAATGATATGCTCAGGTCTTAATTATCTTCTTCTATTAATATTACTATTTCTTGTAACAAGTTCTTAGACAATACTGAGAACATTTCTGTTTTCTTCATGCCTCCTCAGGTAAACAGTAGACCATCATGTATGAACATTATTCTTTTATTTTTGTAAAAATAAAGGTAGCACATTTTCTATCAAATTTCTCACTCAAGCAAGAAAAACAACAAAAAAAAAACCACAAGAAAACCACAAACACATCCCTATCCTTAGCCATAGATGACCAGCCAATAATTCTAATTATATACTATAACATCAATGCTAAAATCAGTTTTTCAGAAACAAATTTAAGCACCTAAACCTAAAGATTTTTTTTTCTGGAAGTGTTTATTAAAAATAAAGGGGCTTTTGTTTTTGTTTTTCAGATGGAGTTTTGCTCTTATTGCCCAGTGGAGTGCAATGGCACAATCTTGGCTCACTGCAACCTCCCCCTCCCAGGTTCAAGTGATCCTCCTGCTTTAGCCCCCCAAGTAGCTGGGATTAAAGTCACAAGCCACCACGCCCGGCTAATTTTGTATTTTTGGTAGAGACAGGGTTTCACCATGTTGGCCAGGCTGGTTTCAAACTCCTGACCTCGGCCAGGCACGGTGGCTCATGCCTGTAATCTCAGCACTTTGGGAGGCCGAGGCAGGCTGGTCACCTTAGGTCAGGAGTTCAAGACCAGCCTGGCCTACTTGGTGAAACTTCGTCCTTATTAAACATACAAAAATTACCCGGGTGTGGCGGCAGGCGCCTATAATCCCAGCTACTTGGGAGGCTGAGGCAGGAGAATCAATCGCTTGAACCCAGGAGGTGGAGGTTGCAATGAGCCAAGATTGTGTCATTGTACTCCAGACTGGGCGATAGAGCAAGATTCCAAGTCAAAAATAAATAAATAAACAAACTCCTGACCTCAGGTAATCCACCGGCTTCGGCCTCCCAAAGTGCTGGGATTACAGGTGTGAGTCACCGTGCCTGACCAAAAATAAAGGTTTTGCTATTTTCTGATTATTAAAGTTTCTGATTTTTAAAATTTCATAATCCACAAAGCATGTTCCAAAGGCATACTGTTTACATTGTAATTAGATTCAAGTAGCATCTACATAAATTGTCTTAAAACTTTTCTGTCTTCCACAAAGAATTCTTTTATATTAAAATATATAGTGGTGATGCTGGAAGAGGAGTGAACTGTAGTTATTATCCAGGCAGAAACATAATATTTACTAGAAAATGTTAAAAGATAATTCAATTCCTAGGCATAATCATTATTTCAGTATTGATCATTACAAGATGTTTACAAAGTCCCAATTTCTTTTTAGCCCTATTTATTTTAAAAATTAGATGTAACTTGAGATTTCCAGAAACATTCTCATTTTTACTTTTACTTTTTAAAAAAACTTAGGTATCTGGTTAGAATAAGCAAGTTTATGGGGAAAAGTGGCCAAAACTGAATTTCAGATGGCCTCCTTATATAATGAAATTTACTCTCATAGAAAACAGCAATGAGTGGAAATGACAGAGATAGGAAAGGCTTCAAACATTTACAATAAGGAAATCATTATAAAATATATAATAAGGGTAAAAATGACAGACATTTTCTTCCAGCTTCTTATGGTAGCAAAATTTATGGGTATGTTTGAGATTAAAGTGTTATTAACTATAAAAATTAACTTTTAAGTATCAGTCTACTATGAAAAAGGTAGTTTTAAAATTAAATATAATGATTAGCTTGATTTTGAAATATCTGTAATTTAGGAAAGAAAATGTTTTTGCCTTGAACATTTCATTAGTAGTATCTGAATATATTCTTCTCATCAAGAAAAAAACTAAGTCAAAGTCAAATCCAGCAGCATCAAATTTTTGCATTGATACTGTAACATTACCAACAGAATGTTGACCTGCTTGGCTTGTGATATCTGTTCTAAAAGTGAACTCAAATTATTACAACTTCTCTTACTTTCACATTGCTTGGTTTTAGATATTTCTTTTTTTTTTTTTTTTGAGATGGAGTTTCGCTTTTGTCGCCCAGGCTGGAGTGCAATGGCGCAATCTCGGCTCACTGCAACCTTCACCTCCCAGGTTCAAGTGATTCTCTTATCTCAACCTCCTGAGTAGTGGGATTAGAGGCGGCCGCCAAGTGATTCTCTTATCTCAACCTCCTGAGTAGTGGGATTAGAGGCGGCCGCCACCATGCCCAGCTAATTTTTGTGTTTTCAGTAGAGATGGGGTTTCACCATGTTGGCCAGGTTGGTCTCAAACTCCTGACCTCAGGTGATCCACACGCCTCAGCCTCCCAAAGTGCTGGGATTACAGGCATGAGCCACCGTGCCTGGCTAGATAATTCTTTCAATGGAAGACTCAAAGCATTTAATTGTGCTTATTATCAAAGCCAATTAGACTGAAAGTGGCAAAAGAGAAAGGAGGATATAAAACTGAAAATTTGACTGTCACTTACTGAGTCGTCTGTAGCAGAAGTTGGCCAGCCCTCCCATAATTGGTGGCGAACGGGGATACTTGTAAGGTCATACACATTTCTCTTTACCTATGAAAAGAAAGAAACAGGACAATTAAAATAGAATTTTCACATGACTTACAGTTTCCAATCAATTTATGAGACATACAGTGTATTTCTTGTTTTCTTCTAGATTCAAAACAAGAATTTGAAACTATAAAAACCCAAGTCAAAAAATTTTGTAAAAAAGAACAAAATCAAATTTAAAAGCAGATTCTCAATGAAGACTAGATGAAATAAGAGTTAAGAAATATCCTCCCTCTCTTGTTTTCAACTCCTGGCTGACTTCATTTCTTTTCAGTCAAGAAACTTCAGGCACCCAGTTCACTAAGGGCAAAGTACGATTATACATTTTTATAATTTATTTAATCGTAAAAATGCACAATGATTCAAAACCAAAAACATATATTTCAAGTTTCTATGTGGAATAGTGAAGGGTAGTGGGGTTTTATTGAAGGGCAAGGGGGGCAGGGGAGGAAAAACCTAAAATTGTCTTCATATTTTTTATGTAAGTTTCAAAGATACAGAAACTTATTATTAAAGTAGCACAGGGCCGGGGACGGTGGCTCACACCTGTAATCCCAGGACGTTGGGAGGCCAAGGCAGGTGGATCACCTGAGGTCAGGAGTTCGAGACCAGTCTGGCCAACATGGTGAAACCCCATCTTTACTAAAAATACAAAAAATTAGCCAGGCGTGGTGGCGGTGCCTATAATCCCAGCTACTTGGGAGGCTGAGGCAGGAGAATCGTTTGCATCCGGGAAGCGGAGGTGGCGGTGAGCTGAGATCATGCCACTGCACTCCAGCCTGGGCAACAGAGTGAGACTCCATCTCCCTACCACCGACCAAAAAAAAAAAAAAAAGTAGCACACGTTATTTTTTTGAAATCAATCCAAATTAAAAACTATTTCATGTAATATTTACTAATATCAGAGCTATAGGCCCTTCCTGAAAATTAAATACAAAAAATGCATTAAAGATGAGAAACTATTTTTCCCAACATGCAACATTATACCTTTTACTTTGAAAGGAAAGGAGGTAAACTTATCAGAATAAAGTGTTGGAAGGTTAAACTCTACGTCAGCCAGTAATTAAGAAGTGTTGGCTAGGCATGGTGGCTCACGCCTGTAATCCTAGCACTTTGGGAGGCCGAGGTGGGCAGATCACTTGAGGTCAGGTGTTCAAGACCAGCCTGGCCAACATGGCAAAACCTTGTCTCTATGAAAAATACAAAAATTAGCCAGGTGTGGTGGTGTGTGCTTGTAATCCCAGCTACTCGGGAAGCTGAGGCAGGAGAATGGCTTAAACCCAGGAGGCAGAGGCTGCAGTGAGCTGAGATCGTGCCACTGCGCTCCAGCCTGGGCATCAGTGCGAGACTCTGTCTCAAAAGAAAATAATAAAAATAAAAATAAAATAAAATAAAAGAAGTGTTACTGGGCGTGGTGGTTCACATCTGTAATCCCAGAATTTTAGGAGGTCAAGGTACAAGGATCACTTGAGCTCAGGAGTTCAAGATGAGCCTGGGCAACATAGTGAGACCACATTTCTACCAAAAAATAACAAAATTAGCTAGGCATGGTGGCTCATGCCTGTAGTCCCCACTACACAGGAAGCTGAGGTGGGAGGATTGTTTGAGTCCAGGAAGTTGAGGATACAGTGAGCCATGATCATGCCACCGCACTCCCACCTGGCAGACAGAGTGAGACCCTGTCTCAAAAAAAAGAAAAAAGCAGTATGTCTCTCTTCAGGGTTTTTTTTTTCTATTTTAGTTTTTATTCACAAATAACGAATCATAATAATGGAGAGATTATCCATTTTAATTAATTCTTCAAGTTAATTATGGCATTATTATCCTACTGTATCAAATGAAGTTAGGATTGAAATGCTCCCCATCATATGTTCTATGTTAAGACTTGAGGCCAGGCATGGTGTCTCATGCCTGTAATCCCAACCCTTTGGGAGGCCAAGCTGGGAAGATCAGTTGAGCCCAGCAGATAGAGGCAGCAATGAGCCACGACTGTGCCACTGAACTCTGGGTGACACAGTGAGACCCTGTCTCAAAAAACAAAACAAAACCCAAAAACTTCAATAGGGTTCTTCATACTTCAACAAGCATCATGCATTTATGTTTTAAAAATGCAGAAGCCTAAAGTATCATGTTGTCCAATTATAGCATTTTGTTTTCACATTACCCTTTCTTATACATAATCACATCTAAGTTACCATTCCAGTGAAATAGAGATACTAGTTCACTACGGAAAGGAGAAACAAAAAATAAAACAAAAACACAGAACTCACTCTATTTTTATCTCTAATTCACACCTGTGGAAAAATGACTTAGTAAATGAGATCTGAGGAGCTTGGGGAATGGCTTGATCTGTACTCAATTCAAACAAACAGGTTTTCTTTAGAGGTTCTTAGCAAATGGCTAGTCTACCATGCAATATTTTGTTTATAGTCAGTCACATCATTTGGAAATTTTTATCAGTCATTATCAACCCAACAATTTAACCAAATGCAATTGGGTTAACCTCTAACCACTTTCACTAGCTGTTATTATTTTGTCATTTTTAAACATTAGTGTTCTTAACGAGAAAGGTGTTCCACAAACCGAGAGTGTTACGTTAATAAAAGATGAAGGATAGAAGAGGGAGTATGAGGAGTCTTTAGGCTTCAAGACAAAATAATTTCTTAAAACTATTTCTTAAAATAATTAAGAAATTATTACTTTGAAATAATTTCTTGAAATTATTTTTCATTATGTTATCTAGATATAACCAACCTTATCAGCTATTTTTGAAAAAAAGCAGGACAAATATTTACATCCTTTTGGAAAGGCCGCAAAGCTACCCTAGCATTGTAAAGTACACACAAATACTATAAGTATACAAACAAATAACTTTGGAGTGGGATTCTTTGAATTCCACCTTAATTCCAAAATACAACAATAAAGTATTATGAAATAAACAGTATTTTCTTTTTTCATTAACTCATCTGTAACTGCACTGAATTGAATAACATTCCTTTGCTATTCTAAGCCTGAAAAGCATGTCCTGGCTATAGTGTTATGTTGGTATTAAGCACAACGCCAGACTGATGTGCTGAACAAAAGTGATCAAAGTCAGAGTAATGTTAGCCATTGCACAAGTATTTGGCTTCATTGTTCTCCCCAGAATGACATCTGTTAAGCAACTTGTCATAGAATAAACTGGCTAATGCAGACAGAACTTGGCTGAGAGAGTCCCATGTAAAGCATATTAGGCTAATGTTTGATTGTTCCAATGCAAAGGCTAAATTCACAGAGTATTCTGAGTTTAAACTAAAAGAATCTTATGTTGAACCACAATCACTAAACAACAATTTAGTGTTTTTCAAAAATAATTCCATGCATACCAATGCTGTTACCATACGTAGATGTTACCAGTATATGGATGAAGCACAAGTGATAAGATAGCAAAAGCATCAAAAGAGTGGGGATTTTACTAATAGATTACAATTCCATTTTCTTTATTGATGGTTATATTTAATAAAAAATTGAAATCATAATCCTGCAGGGAAGAAAAAAATCCAAAATGTACACAAAACATAAAAACGATTCTGAAAAAAGTTAGTATTCTAGGAAACCTCAATGATAAAATACAGCTTTGTATAAAATGATACAGATGAATTTAAAGTCATCATGGATCAGATGAAGGACACAGTTCTTTCAGAGAAGGAGGGAAGATGAAGAAATATGAGGAAGAAAGAGGGAGGGGGAAGGGAAAGGGAGAAGAAGGGGAAAAGGGAAAAGGAGGAAAGAGAAGAGAGGAAGATGGAGGGTAAAGAGATAGGGAGAAATAGATGATAGGGAAAGAAAGAAGAGAGGGAAGTGAGAAAGAGAGGGGGAAGGACACTGATTGATTTGGGACTTGAGAGCACTTTAGAGAAGTAAAAAGAACACACGCACAGGCTGGGGTGCAGTGGCTGGCATGCCCAGCTGCCAATATTGTGTTGCTTCTGACGGAGTTTCATCTTTAGAGTATGTTAAATTCCAGTTAAGGACAAGTGGCACTTCACAGGGTAACATTTCCTAAGGGCCTTTTTGTCTTACACATTTTTTTTTTGATCAGCATTGGCTCAAGATCATGCTGAACCTTCATGATCTTTTCAATTCTTGTTTTACATGCAAATGTTTCAATTAGTTCAGGAGGAATTTAATAAATGCTTTGATTACCAGCTGAACATTAAACTTACATTACAAACTATACTGTATTTGGATCTAGAGTTCTAGATTGACAACAGATTTTCTAATTTGCATTCAAGATTTTCTAAAGGTATAGTTTAATTTCTTCCATATCGTTTCAGATAAGACAATCGTTTGCAACTGAGAAAATATATAAATCAGGTTAATTTTTAATAGTATAGAATTAATATGGTACTGATTTGTTTCCTTATTTGTCATTGCTAATAAACACCTGTTTATATACTATAATTAATGTGAAAAACTAAGTAATAATCTCTACTTCAAACTTCATACTTCCTCAATGTCTGTGGGAATTTCAACGCTAAACACAGCACTGGGGGAAAGATCATTTCATTATAAGCTACTCAATATAAAATTATAAAAGTACCTTCATAACATATTCATCTCCCACAAACTTTTCTTTTGATTCATTTAAATTTTCAAACAGTTTTATTTTTTAGTTAAATTTCATCAGAATTTCTTAGGAAAGTAATTCTTAGGAAAAGTTGCTCTGCTAAAGGCTAAACCATGAAGCTCAGATTAGCCTCAAATGAGTTGTTCTAAACTATTTTTATATTGAAAAATATAAAATTCAGTAGATAACATTCTCAGTTATAATAAAACCATTCCTTGTGAGCTAAATATCTATCAAACTATTGAAAAACTTTTAGGGAATTTTAAATGTCATTCAGGTATTATTCTCGTGAAAGCAAACTAATAAAAAAGTCACAAAGTTTAAGGTGTTGCGGCATACCTCGAGGCAGAGAACTAGATTTCTTTCTTTTTTTTTTTTTCCCAAGACAGTCTTGCTCTGTCGCCCAGGCCAGAGTGCAGTAGGTTCTCGGCTTACTGCAACCTCCACCTCCTGGATTCAAGCGATTCTCCTGCCTCAGCCTCCTGAGTAGCTGGGATTACAGGAGTGTGCCACCACACCTGGCTAATTTTTGTATTTTTAGTAGAGACGGGGTTTCACCATGTTGGCCAGGCTAGTCTCGAGCTCCTGACCTTGTGATCTGCCCACCTTAGCCTCCCAAAGTGCTGGAATTACAGGCGAGCTACCTTACCCAGCCAGAGAACTAGATTTCTAATCCTAGTTCTGCTCAACTGTTACTGTGGGAAAATTGGTGGAGCCATTCTGAGACCTCATGTACTCCACCTTAGAAGAGAATAAAACATGATCGTTTCTGATTTTCAAAGCTCCAAAATGTTATTATTTCGTGAAAATACTGGAGTTAATCCTAGGTACAGGAAAAGAGGTGCTAAACATATACAAGACAAGGAAGTAATGAGAGAAAATTTAAAACTATTAATGCTACAAAATGGAGAAACAATAGAAAAAAATATAACAGACATCAAAAAGAAAAATGGCAAATAATTTCACATGAGAAATAAAGATAATAAGCATTTTAGTACTTTTTTTTGCATGAGATTTGGCATTTACTTTTATTATACTTTTTAAAAAACACTAATATTTTCCCCTTATGAGATCTCATTTAAAAATAAAGCCTGTCACACTGGTTTCCCAGAAAACTATTCTATCAATCTAATGTCATCAAAGTGGTTATATGATTTTGCCAGAACGCTACTGTGATATAGTTTTCAAGTTTTATTAATTTATCTCAACATTTAAAATTTTTTGAAATCTGGCCCACGATTCTTCACATATCAAACATTTTGATATGGCAAAATACAAAAACAAAATGTTCAGTAATCAGTGCTTTAGTTTCTAGATTTTCTGAATTAAGATACTATCGCACATCATAGTACAGCCCTTACAAAAAAGTACCCTGAAACTACAGCCATCCATCTCATTCTTTTATCATTCTTAGAAGAAAAAGGACTCTGGTCATATGAAAACCTGAGCTTAGACCGAATTTTAAATATATCAAACTTAAGCTCCCAGTGCATCGCATTATCAGATGTTCTGGTTAAGAGTTTGTTAAATAACTGCATTGAGCAAATAAGTATTTGTATGTGTGTGTGTTTAAATCAAAATAAGGCATACAAACTAGGCTTAATTCCAGTATCCTAGCAATCACTGGCACTCTGAAAGGCTTATAGTTAAGAAAGCAGTCACTTCTGAATCAGAAGTGATTCAGAATGCGTTCTGAACACATACTTCATACCTAAGGCCTTCTTTTCCTCTTGTTTTTAAAAGTATTGTATACACGTTGCAGTTGCACATGGATTTGTTTTACTAAGATGCAAGTTAAAACCCTCCTTAAAATCCTTTCTGAACAAAAAACGCTTGAAACCGGATGGTGCAAGGGGAATGAGAAGGTGGCATCAGTAATCAAATGTTAATTAGCAAGCTTTTTTTTTCTTCCCCCTTCCCCCAGGGCTGGCCTGTGTTGGAGAATTCAAATCAGAAATCAATGCTCTAAGTGTTTAACTATTACTTCTTCTCATTAACCATTAAAAAGACCAAGCTATTCTCTCCTCATAAAAACAGTAACTGGAGACATTTCTTTTTCTCAAATACTATCTTTCCAGAAAACAATGAAGATCTGTTTCAAGAAATCTATAAAATTGAAGTTGCTTTCAATCAGGCTTTGAACTGACTGGATTCTGCAGTTTTAAAAAATCTTTTGCCTCTAAATGAATTCTTCATTCTAATAACTGTAACTTAGTTTTGCTTTGTACCATACTTTAAAAACTTATTTCAACTCTTACTTGGCTATAAAGAAATTTGACAATTGCCTTTCTAAGAGATTACTAGGATGATGATAGTAAAGTTAATCAAATATGTAAACTAATTTAAATATATTAAGTTGGAGACGGATTTTGGCCATCCTGAAACACTACCCAGCATAAGATTTAACACTTCCATGGGTAACATGGTTATGTTGATAATTTCCTATACTAAAAGTCTGATGTGGGTGAAAGCAACTTGACAATTGCAAAGTTAGATATTATTTAAAGTAACAACTAATAATCACACATTTATTAAAATGAATTTGTATCTTTTTTTTTTTTTTTTTTTTTTTTTTTTTTGAGACGGAGTCTCCCTCTGTCGCGCCCAGGCTGGAGTGCAGCGGCGGGATCTTGGCTCACTGCTGCTAGCGCCGCCTCCCGGGTTCACGTCATTCTCCTGCCTCAGCCTCCCGAGTAGCTGGGACTGCAGGCACCCACTAGCGCGCCCGGCTAATTTTTTGTATTTTTAGTAGAGATGGGGTTTCACCATTCACAGGATGGTCTCCATCTCCTGACCTCGTGATCCGCCCGCCTTGGCCTCCCGAAGTGCTGGGATTACAGGCGTAAGCCACCACCCAGCCATGAATTTGTATCTTTAGTAAAAGGTCAAACCTGGATTTTACGATAAAAGACAATTCCTAAAGTGCTAAGAAAATGTTTATAGATGAGAAAAGCTAAACATATTTCACAAATTAAAAAGAAGCTAAATTTTAGAAGCTTTCTGAAAAACACAAGTTTATAGAAACTGTGAAGTTGCAGGGATTATAACTGAAAAAAAAGGTTAATTATTTTTCTACAACAGTGGTTCTTAAAGAGGGTGGCTGGACCAGGTATTAGTATCACCTGGAAACTATCAGAAATGCAAATTCATGGGCCCCACCACAGACCTAGTGTATAGAACACTCTGAGTGCCCAGCAATCTCTGTTTTAATAAGCTCTTTAGATAACTCTTACCAAGATAAATTTTAAGAAGCATTGCTTTTTTTTAAATTTTAATTTCAATTTTTTTTTTTTTTTTTTGAGACAGAGTCCAGGCTGGAGTGCAATGGCACAATCTCAGCTCACTGCAACCTCCGCCTCCCAGGTTCAAGCGATTCTTCTGCCTCAGCCTCCCAACTACCTGGGACCACAGGCACATGCCACCACACCCGGCTAATTTTTGTATTTTTTTAGTAGAGACAGGGTTTCACCGTATTGGCCAGGCTGGTCTCGAACTCCTGACCTCGTGATCCACCCACCCTGGCCTCCCAAAGTGCTAGGATTACTGGCGTGAGCCACCGCGCCCGGCCAGAAGCACCGCTTTAGAATGTGCAAATAATATATAGGCTCTTCCAGAGAGCCATGCCTCTCAAGTTTACTGATACTAAAATTCTTTGAACTCTGCCTAAGGTGGCCAGTCACTTTTGAGAATAAATATAATTAATAATCATTTGTTACAGAAATTCTAAAAATGTTGCAATTTCATTTGGATGATGTGATTTTATTAGCCTAAGAAATTAATGAGAGAAGATACTACCTCTTTACTACAGACTTCATTGCATTCTCAGTTTAATCTAAATTTCTGCTAATTGAAAATCTGTTAATCTTTTTTTTTTTTTTTTTTTAGACAGAGTCTCGCTCTGTCACCAGGCTGGAGTGTAGTGACGCGATCTTGGCTCACTGCAACTTCTGCCTCCGGGGTTCAAGCAATTCTCCTGCCTCAGCCTCCCGAGAAGCTGGGATTACAGGAATGTGCCACCATGCCCAGCTAATTTTTGTGTTTTTAGTAGAGACGAGGTTTCACCATGTTGGCCAGGATGGTCTCGATCTCTTGACCTCGTGATCCGCCCACCTCAGCTTCCCAAAGTGCTGGGATTACAGGCATGAGCCACTGTGCCCGGCCAATCTTTAGTTTTTCTGTCTCAAGCTTAAGTGTGACTGCTTCCTGGTCATAATACATATTTGGAACTTGCAGTAAACCTGCAAACTCACAATAAATGACCTATTGGTCTCACTAAATAAACTTGGAAGATATCTATATATGTCAGATAAACTGAAGAAATGTCCCTAACCACTAGAGAACTATGTTTGAGCCATATAAAACAACTAAACAGAAGGCTGGGGGCGGTGGCTCATGCCTGTAATCCCAGCACGCTGGGAGGCCAAGGTGGGTGGATCACGAGGTCAGCAGATCGAGACCATCCTGGCTAACACGGTGAAAACCTGTCTCTACTAAAAATACAAAAACAAAATTAGCCAGGCATGGTGGCGGGCGCCTGTAGTCCCAGCTACTCAGGAGGCTGAGGTGGGAGAATAGCGTGAACCCAGGAGGCGGAGCTTGCAGAGAGTCGAGATCGCGCTACTGCACTCCAGACTGGGCGACAGAGCGAGACTCCGTCTCAAATAAACAAACAAACAAACAAACAAACAAACAGGTTATGTTTTCCTATCGTAGGCTAGCTGAAACAAGGCCCAAAAGAAATAGGTTAGTTTCCTAACAGTCAGACAAGACCTTGTCACGAAGGGCAATATTTCCTCTGTACACTTTATGGAAACAGTGAGGGAACAATACTTTTCCAATTATTTAATGGCTTAGTAAATAATATGAAAAAAATGTTTCTTACAGCCTGCAATAAATAAAATTACAATCACTCAATAAAAGCTCTTAAAATCTCATTTAAAAATCAAGTAAATTAATCAATTTATAATTCTTTCCAGGAAGGAAAACACCAATTAAGCCCAGTCAATTTTAGAAATAACTGGAACAATTATAGAAACATTTTTAGGAATTTTACTTTAACCTAACACCATTTTGTGAAATTCAATTTTATATAACACTTTAAAGATTGGACACATGAATCAAGAAATACTGTGGACCTGAAATGTTTTGATTTTTAAATCTGAATTTTAGTAGTCAATCTGATACAATGTCAGAAGCAATATACTAGTTAATCTTAAAGACATAATCATACCTGTAACCAAATATTTCGCTACAAGGATATTCATTGCAGCCTTGTTTATCATCACACAAAATCATATCAAAACACAAAATTGGCATAATCTAATATCCAATAATGTAACAGTTAAATAAATAAAATACTGTGCGGTTATTAAAGTGATGAACCAGCATCAGCAAAGCAGAGCCCAGAGGTCAAATCCAGTCTACTGTCTGTTTCTGTCCATAAAGTTACACTGGAACACAGCCACATCCATTTGTTTACATATTTTCTCTGGCTGTTTTTGCACTACCAAGATAGCAGAGTTGAGTACATGTAACAGAGACTGCATGGCCTAAAAAGCCCAAAATAGGAATTATCTGTCTCTTCCCAGAAAAAAATTTGCTGACCCCTAATATGGAAGAATATTTGGTTATATAAAAAGTTGTTACGTGATCTTTTTAAAAACCAGGTTACAAAATAATATGCATCTCTGTTTAAGTTATGTCTGTATAAGTATAGGTACATATGTATGCATACCATATGTATGCACAGAAAAAAGATCAGGCCAGGTGCAGAGGATCACACCTGTAATCCCAATATTTTGGGAGGTCAAGGTGGGCGGATCCCTTGAGGTCAGAAGTTCAACACCAGTCTGGCCAACATGGTGAAACCCTGTCTCCACTAAAAATACAAAAATTAGCTAGGCGTGGTGGTGCATCCTGTAATCCCAGCTACTCAGGAGGTGAGACACAAGAATTGCTTGAACCTGGGAGGCAGAGGTTGCAGTGAGCCCAGATCAAAAAAAAAAAAAAGACCAGGTGATCTGCCCGCCTTGGCCTCCCAAATTGCTGGGATTACAGGCATAAGCAACCGCGCCCGGCTGGACACTTTTTTTGTGTTGAGACAGTGTCTTACTCTGTCACCCAGTTGGAGTGAAGTAGGGCCATCACAGCTCACTGCAGCCTGGATCTCCTGGGCTGATAAGATCCTCCCAACTCAGCCTTCTGAGTGACTACAGATGCATACCACCACACCTGGGTAATTTTTAAACTTTTTGTAGAGAGGAGGTATCATTATTTTGCCCAGGCTGGTCTCAAACCCCTGGACTCAAGCAATCCTCCCACCTCAGCCCCCTCAAAGTGCTGGGATTACAGGTTGTAAGCCACTGTGCCCAGCTACCGGACACTTTTATAATTGTAACGTGTATGAATCTTCTATGAAACCATTTGCACTTAATTCTAAACAGTGGTCATTAAGTAGTAACAAGTGGGTGGGGTGCAGTGGCTCACGCCTGTAATCCCAACACTTTGGGAGGCTGAGGTGGGCGGATCACCTGAGGTCAGAAGTTTGAGACCAGCCTGGCCAACATGGTGAAACTCCATCTCTACTAAAAATACAAAACTTAGCCAGGCATGGTGGCACACATCTGTAATCCCAGCTACTCGGGAGGCTGAGGCAGGAGAATCGCTTGAACCCAGGAGGCAGAGGTTGCAGTGAGACGAGGCCACACCACACTGCACTACAGTCTGGGTGACAGAGTGAGACTCCATCTCAAAACAACAACAACAACAACAAAAACTAGTAACATGTGATCAACTATGGGCAAAGCCCCTCTTATGAGAGCAAATGAGCCTTTCCACAGCTGCTGTGCTGCAATGGATAATGCAGTTACAGTCTGTCCACTTTGTACTTTTAAGTGCTGTAGAGGAAGAACAACTGCCAGAACAAATAGCAACTTGTTATTGTTTCAACAATTGAATGCTTCACAGAAAGGGGGCAGAGTTCCTGGTGTCACACACATCTGAGAAAGATGGCAAGATAAAAAATTTCCAAGGAAAATAAATCAAGGAAAAAGGAGAAGAGCATATAAAAATAGTTAAACTTTATCATGAGAGTTACCAAGGCTCTTCCTCTTATACACTTTTGGCCAATGCCTTCTGAGTCTCCTTCACCCCTTACATTAGTAAGGATTTTAGCTGGAATAAAAGAATATGAAGATATTCACACTATGGGCCTGCTACTTCTACTTGGCCAATGGACAGTAAATCAATTATGCCCTATCCTGTTATTCTAGTTTTCTCTCTCTCCACAGTTGGGCACTCTTGCCAACTCCTCTTCTATGCTTTTGATCTGGACAAGTGAAACTCTTATCAGAAACAGCTGTGTCTTATTTGTAACCTTTGTAAGTTCTAAACTAAAACTGCGTCTATAAGGAAGACAATGTAAAACAGTGCCATTAATCTACTCTGCCCACTTGTTTTTTATAGAATTGCACTTCCTTTTTATTTCATGTGATTTAAAAAACACAAGTGCACACATGCGCAAACACAGACAAATTAAGCTACTTGCCTAAATGTCATTCACTTAGTTAATGTCTAGGTCAGAACAATAATGCGGATTTTTAAAATTCTTAATCCATTTTCCTTTTCTTCAAGAAAAAAGATTTTTTTTCCTTGAAGAAAAGACCATTGCTTCTACAGCAAGCTTCAAACTTTTTAAAATGCTGACAATGTTAATGCTTTTGGCAAAGAACCATCTTTATATTTTGATAATGACTATATCCCTTCCCACTCTGGTAGCACCACGCTGATGCTCAGACGTGATGTGATGTTTATGTTTGCTTTGCTGTTTTCTGTTGCCCATCCAGGCCTTTGCCTTTCTCTGAGATGTGAAAAAAGTGGTGGGAACCATCAGCAACAGAACCTCAGTCTATAATCAGGTCTCTCATAATTTTATCTTTTCTAGTTAACAAAAAAATGCAAAAAACAAAGACAACAAAGGGACTTAGTGTTGGGGTCTGCCATGAATACTAAAGTGGCCTGGGGGTGTGGCTCATCAAGTGAAAATAAACCATTCAAGTCATCCACATCAAGAAGAAAGTTTGGGAACAACTAGGCCAGTGTTTGCATTTGGGGCCCTGGAGTCAGGAGAGTTACATTTCTCTTCTCTCTGCATAACTAACGCACCAAAGACAACCTACTTAACCTCTCCTTTAGGAAATATTAAGTAAGCTCCTCCAAAGAACAGCCCTGAGAGATACTTAAAAGTGTGTCTGGTCAGGTTATCTGAGTCTAACTTGCTACTTTGCAAGATCAGCTTTCAGCATTACTCTCAGAGATTTGTAGGCAGGAGGGCAGAAAGCCTATCTTAAGAAAAGTAGCTGCCTTGGCCATGAGCAAAGTTATAAGAGTAAAGTCACCAAAATTACACACCTAGTTAAGTTTAGGTGAATACAGTAGAGTTGGAAACTGGCTCCAAATGACAATTTAATTAAATCGTATCAAATGAATTGACACTATGAAAGAAAGTCTACTACTGCACACCAAACCCTAAGGACTGATGCTGCCAATGCTCAAAAGCTCCATACGACTGGCCTTTAATTAAGAAAGTAAAACCCAACCCAAGGATTCACTGTTAGGGCTGGCTCTGAAATGTAGATATAGCTATTTTAGAAAGAAAATACCAGGAATACCTTAGCAATCCCACTTAATGTATTATTAAGATCAGGAAAAAAAATTTAACCACATGATTCATTAAATAAGGAGGCATTCTGAATAAACTGCCTGAAGTCTCCTGTTAAAAAATTACTCCTATTTATCCATTAACAAAGCTATTCCTTAGCTCATCCCTGCCATAACCTGCTCTATTCAAAACCATATGGGAAAGGACATTAAAAAACCGCCACAAACCATGGACTTCTGGTATTAGTGCTACACACAGTATACCCCTATTCATTATTCTACCTCCCTTGTTTAATCTATCATTAAGACTCAGTGACCCTACACTAAATTTAAAGCAGATCCTTCCTTCCTCCCATGCCTAAATTCACATACTTTTCTAGTTGGGGATGCCCTCAAGTATTAACAACTCTACGGGGTTTCTCTAATCTCAGCTCTGAACTATGTCATGCTATAGAACCAAGAAATTGCTGTTTTACATCTCTAACTATGGAGGCTTCCATAAAAAAAAAGACCATATAATTTACTTAATAAGATAAAGGGGGGAAAATCACCATTTAATAAGTAGTTTTTCACTGTACATGGTAAAAAAGGCACATGGAGAGACACTGTCATAGACTGTGTTGTCTTAAAAATGAATAATACCTAGAGGCATTACTTTGACTGTATTGATCACAGAACTTAAAAGTTTTAAGGTAAAAATTGTCAGATGTTGACTATCTTAATGGAACAACAAAGGAAAAAAATGTTGATTTAAACATATAGTTGATAAAAAAAATTGGGGGAAAATAAGATTTCAAGAAAGCAAAAGTTAGTATTTCTAGGACATATGAAACTGCATTATCAAATTACAAACAAAAACTGTAATGACAATGTAGCAAAATAAAGGATAAGTAATTGTGTATGTAATAATCTATAAGAGCAAACAGAATTTTCTATGAAGATAAAAATGTTCTTTGTGCTGTCCAATATAGTGGCCATTAACCACATATGGCTACTGAGCACTTGAAATGTAGCTTGTCTGCCTGAGGCATAAAATTTTAAACTTTAGGCTGGGCGCAGTGGCTCACGCCTGTAATCCCAGCACTTTGGGAGGCCAAGGCGGGCGGATCACTTGAGGTCGGGAGTTCGAGACCAGCCTGACCAACATGCAGAAACCTCGTCTCTAATAAAAATACAAAATAAGCCAGGCGTGGTGGCGCATGCCTGTAATCCCAGCTACTTGGGAGGCTGAGGGAGGAGAATCGCTTGAACAAGGGAGGTGGAGGTTGCGGTGAGCCGAGATTGCGCCATTGCACTCCAGCCTGGGCAACAAGAGCAAAACTCCGTCTCAAAAAGAAAAAAAAAAAAAAAAAAAATTAAACTTTAAAAAAATGTTTTAAGTTTATTTATTTATATTTGGAGCAGCCGGGGGTGAGATAGGGGAGGGACAGAGTATCACCCAGCTAATTTTTGTATTTTTTTGTTTGTTTGTTTTTTGTAGCGATGGGATTTCGCCATGTTGTGCAGGCTGGTCTCGAACTCCTGGATT
This sequence comes from Homo sapiens, assembly GCF_000001405.40. NCBI lineage: Eukaryota > Metazoa > Chordata > Mammalia > Primates > Hominidae > Homo > Homo sapiens. Next base: position 50,670,321 of record NC_000001.11, read on the forward strand.
CAAACAATCTGCCTACCTGCACCTCCCAAAGTGCTGGGATTACAGGTGTGAGCCACGGCGCCTGGCCAGCAATTTAAGTTTAAATTGCCACTCACAGCTAGTAGTGACCCTATTGGACAATATATTGATATTACTTAAGAAAGTAGAAAATATAGAGCAACATAAAAACAGACTATTGATAAACTAGATACTTAAACATGCTTCACTTCATTCTTATTTCATTATAGTCCTTGAACTATAAAGGTAGAAATACTGCAGTTAAATTAATTCTTCAAAATTATACTTTTATTATTTTTAATAATGTTATTTTAAAGTAGTCTGAGGCAGGGTGCCTGGATTCTCAGGTTCATGCCTGGAATCTCAGCACTCTGGGGGCTGAGGTGGGTGGATCACTTGAGTTTAGGAGTTCCAGACCAGCCTGGGCAACATGGCAAAACCCCGTCTCTATAAAATACAAAAATTAGCCAGGTGTGGTGATGCATGTCTGTAGTCCCAGCTACTTGGGAGGCTGAGGCAGGGAAATTACTTGAGCCCAGGAGGTGAAAGATGCAGTGAGCTGAGATCCCACCACTGCATTCCAGCCTGGGTGACAGAGTAAGACTGCCTCAAATACATAAATAAATAAAGTAGCTTGATAAGTATCAATAGAAACCATATGCTTGAGTATTTCAAAATTGAAGGGAGATAGAATATATATAGAATGTATGTAAATAATACCTTATTTGAAAAAAAAGGAAATAATGGGCTATATTTATAATCATCAAATAGTCTAAACATTCTTAGTTAAAAATGTAAGTTTGAAGGCCGGGCACAGTGGCTCATGCCTGTAATCCCAGCACTTTGGGAGGCTGAGGCAGGCAGATCACTGGAGGTCAGGAGATCACGATCAGCCTGGCCAACACTGTGAAACCTCATCTCTACTAAAAATACAAAATTTAGCCAGGCATGTTGGTACGAACCTGTAATCCCAGTTACTCGGGAGTCTGAGGCAGGAGAATCACTTGAAACCGGGAGGTGGAGGTTACAGTGAAACAAGATCATGCCACTGCACTCCAGCCTGGGCAACAGAGCAAGACTCCGTCTCAAAAAAAAAAAAAAGGTAAAGTTTGACTTCCATAGCTGCCACATGATGCAACCTAGGATCTAATTTTCATCAATCCATACATTCACAAAACGATTGCTTGAGCATGATTACATTGAATTAGATGTTACTGTAATAGATAATGTTAACTATATACCTGGCAGTTTTTTATTTAAGAGGGTGAGGATTCAAACTTAATCCCTTTTTTTGGGTCAAGATCCTTAATGTATTCACGTAGTAGGTTAGCAGCAGGTGTAATGGATATTACAATCACTACCAGTCTCAGATTCAATACCTTATCGATTCATTAAGTACCTACTGAACATTTTAATTTTTTTTTTTTTTTGAGACAGAATCTTACTCTGTCGCCCAGGCTGGAGTGCAGTGGTGCCATGAACATATTAAATTTTATTATTTACTTTTAGAGACAGGGTCTGGCTGTGTCACCCAGACTGGAGTGCAGTGGCAAGATCAAAGTCACTGCAACCTCAAACTCCTGGATTCATCTGATCCTCCTGCCTCAGCCTCCTGAGTAGGTAGGACAGGTACATGCCACCTAATTTTTACATATTTTTTTGTAGAGAAAAGGTCTCACTATGTTGTCCAGGGTGGTCTTTCTTTTTTTTTTTTTTATTATTTATTTACTTATTTATTTATTTTTTGAGACGGAGTCTTGCTCTGTCACCCAGGCTGGAGTACAGTGGCGCGATCTCAGCTCACTGCAACCTCTGCCTCCCCGGTTCAAGGAATTCTCTGCCTCAGCCTCCCAAGTAGCTGGGATTACAGGCACCTGCCACCATGCCCAGCTAATTTTTTTGTATTTTTAGTAGAGACGGGGTTTATCTTGGCCAGGCTGGTCTTGAACTCCTGACCTTGTGATCCACCCGCCTCAGCTTCCCAAAGTGCTGGGATTACAGGCGTGAGCCACCGCGCCCCAGCCAGTTTTGTTTTGTTTTGTTTTGATTTTTTGAGATGGATTTATTAACATTTGGAGCAGCTGGAGGTGGGATGGGGGAGGGACAGGGTATCACCCAGCTAATTTTTGTATTTTTTTTGTTTTTTGTAGCAATGGGATTTCGCCATGTTGCGCAGGCTGGTCTCGAACTCCTGGATTCAAACAATCTGCCTACCTCGACCTACCAAAGTGCTGGGATTATAGGCGTGAGCCACGGCGCCTGGCCAGCAATTTAAGTTTAAATTGCCACTCACAGCTAGTAGTGACCCTATTGGACAATATATTGATACTACTTAAGAAAGTAGAAAATATAGAGCAACATAAAAACAGACTATTGATAAACTAGATACTTACATGCTTCACTTCATTCTTATTTCATTATAGTCCTTGAACTATAAAAGGCAGAAATACTGCAGTTAAATTAATTCTTCAAAATTATACTTTTATTGTTTTTAATAATGTTATTTTAAAGTAGTCTGAGGCAGGGTGCAGTGGTTCATGCCTGGAATCTCAGCACTCTAGGGGCTGAGGTGGGTGGATCACTTGAGTTTAGGAGTTCCAGACCAGCCTGGGCAACATGGCAAAACCGTGTCTCTACAAAATACAAAAATTTTAGAATGGCCGTGCACAGTGGCTTATGCCTATAATCCCAGCACATTGGGAGGCTGAAGCAGGTGGATTACCTGAGGTCCAGAGTTCGAGACCAGCCTGACCAACATGGTGAAACACCGTATCTACTAAAAATACAAAAATTAGCCAGGTGTTGTGGTGCATACCTGTAATCCCAGCTACTCAGGAGGCTGAGGCAGGAGAATTGCTTGAACCCGGGAGGCAGAGGTTGCAGTGAGCCAAGATCGTGCCACTGCACTCCAGCCTGGGAACAGAGCGAGACTCTGTCTCAAAAAAAAAAAAGAAAAGAAAAAAGAAAATGCATAATGTATTGCTAATAAAGGACTAGAATAATTTCCCAATGGATGTATAAGCAACTGATAAACCTAAGTTTAACAAGTACACTGAGTGCTAATAATTCATGAGCATCCATTCCGTTGTGCAGCAGGCAAAAAATACATACTGAGTACCTAATAGCAGGAAGGTATTATTTTGTAGTAGTGACTAAAAGAGACAAAGCTTCTGTGTTCATGGAACTTATATTCACTCTATAGTATGCTCATGGTGGTAAGGGAGAGTGAGGGCGGAAGGAAACAAAAAGAACTAAGTGAATATATAAATTCATAAATTTCAGAGTTAGATACGTGCTGTGATGGGTGATAAGAGACTCTTGACAGTCATTCTTTATTTTAGATGGGTTGAAATCTGAAGAAGAAGGTATAACTTCCAAGGGTGTTCCAGATAGAGAAAACATAAAATGCAAAGGCTCTGTTAGGTATATTCATATATCCATTACACATATACACTACAGATATATTCTCTAAAACTTAATATCAAGTAACATATATACATTACATATATATTCTCTAATACCATCATCAAGTTCAATGCAGCTTTTATTCTCTCTTTAAAAAATAAACTGAGGGTCCCAAACTCTCCAAAGTAAGTAGCAGAAGCAGAATTCAAAAGGAAATCTATGTGACTCTGAGGCTTTTTTTTTTTTGACATGGAGTCTTGCTCTGTCACCCAGGCTGGAGTGCAGTGGCATGATCTCGGCTCACTGCAACCTCCGCCAGCCAGGTGCAAGTGATTCTCCTGCCTCAGCCTCCCAAGTAGCTGGGGTTACAGGCGTCCGCCACCACACCCAGCTAATTTTTCTGTATTTTTAGTAGAGACGGGGTTTCACCATGTTGGTCAGGTTGGTCTCGAACTCCTGACCTCCTGATCCACCCACTTGGGCCTCCCAAAGTGCTGGGATTACAGGCGTGAGCCATTGCTCCGGGCCCCAAGGCAATTTTTTTTTTTTATTGTACCATGACACATCCCTAAAAACTGAAACTGGAAAACTCTGTTCTTTTTCTGTAGATCATCCCCTCCCCTCACTCCTTGCCAAAGAAATTGTTACTCACACTATTCACTTACTTGGCTAACTCTTCCTTCATATATTTATGCTTTAGTTCAACTAAATAATCATAAATCCTAAATTACTGTCAGGTACAAATTAATAAAGTTTGCTATAGTGATAGCTAACTCAAAGGGATATTTCAGAGATTCTGATCAAAGATACCTTGCCTTCAAACACAGGTGGGTGTTGTTTATATGGTTTTGTGCAAGTGAATATTGTCATGCAGTCCAAAATAAACGGTAACTGCATTTGATCATATTTTATTTTTTGGCGTGTTTTACTGCATTATGACAGTAATAAGTAAATTTGAGGTTGTCTATCCTTGAAAATTGTCACAGCCTGGCAATCATAGCCAATGAAAGTCACTTATTTCAGAGCATCATTCTCTCAATTCCCCAACATTATCACTCATGCTTCATACTCTATATTGAAAAAGAAAAGATGAGAACAGCTATTGCTAGAGCAATGCTAAACCCCTGTCACCTTGTACTATTTTATTTTATTTTATTTTATTTTATTTTATTTTATTTTATTTTGAGATGCAGTTTCGCTCTTTGTTGCCCAGGCTGGAGTGCAGTGGCGCGATCTTGGCTAACTGCAACCTCCGCCTCCTGGGTTCAACCAATTCTCCTGTCTCAGCCTCCCAAGTAGCAGGGATTACAAGTGCCCACCACCATACCTGGCTAATTTTTGTATTTTTAGTAGAGACAGGGTTTCGCCATGTTGGCCAGGCTGGTCTCAAACTCCTGACCTCAGGTGATCTGCCCGCTTGGCCTCCCAAAGCACTGGGATTACAGGCGTGAGCCACAGCGCCCAGCCAGACCTTGTACATTTTCAAGTAAATCTGGTAAATTTTCTCTGTGTGCATATATTAATGTTTCTTCTTTCTTCCTTTCAACAAACATTTATTGAGTGCTTCCTTGAGTTCCAGACTCTCTGGCAGTCACTAGAGCAGCAGTCGAAAATGCAAATTTCAAGAGCCGCCCAGTAAGTAACACAAATGAATGAAATGTGATGGGCAAATGGCATTCAGCCTTTGTTTCGAGGATACAATATTGGAATGTTAGGGACGATGGCAAATTAGAGAGCATTGCCTATCCAAAGAGGCAGATGCTGCTCCAGACTAGCTGATTGCTGTTATAGAAAATGTAGGGTTCAGCATTACCAGGATTTTCTGATTCTTTGCAAGAAGCCAGAAGTCAGGAATCCTGTTTCATTTTATTTTAAATGTGAAACCTCCTAACTTTTAAATGTTGGCAACCAGTGCACATTTAAAACATGCTGGGACCCAAACTGGTTGCAAATAAAATAATCTTGTGGTTGCCAGTTTGCAACCTCTGCAGGAGAAATACAAAGATAGATAAAGACACAATAGTCTTGCCTTAAAGGAACACACAGTCCTCTAAAAGTCATATCCAGAAACAAATGTTTATGATACAATGTGATAGTTATAATGATAAAGATATCAATAAGGTATAAGAGGCCATTATAGTAGCTGAAACTACCATTTATTGAGTAGCAGAGGCACTGGTCCAGGTACTGTGCATGTTACTCTATTTCATGCTCACATCAATTCTATGGGTATAGAAATTGCTTTATTATGTGGTAGAGCTGAATGTGAATTTGAACCCCTATTCTTTGTGACTTCAAAAATCAGTGGGTCTTTTTCCTAACATTTCACACTGCCAGCCATTCCTCCAACCAAGTCTTAATGTTTGGAAATCAATCATATGAACATTTGAAAATGAAACTAGGGCCAGGCACAGTGGCTCATGCCTGTAATCCCAGCACTTCGGGAGGCCGAGGCCAGCAGATCACCTCAGGTCAGGAGTTCAAGTCCAGCTTGGACAACCTGGTGAAACCCCGTCTCTGCTAAAGATAGAAAAATTAGCCAGGTGTGGTGGCAGGCAGCTGTAATCCCAGCTACTCAGGAGGCTGAGGCAGGAGAATTGCTTGAACCCAGGAGGTGGAGGTTGCAGTGAGCCAAGATCACGCCATTGCACTCCAGCCTGGGCAACAAGAGTGAAACTCTGTCTTAAAAAAAAAAAAAGAAAGAAAGAAAATGAAACTAATTTATTTGCCACTTATTTCAGTAAAAAAAAAGAAAAATGTAAATATTATTTTCAATGTAACAATCACCCTGGAATATAATATAAAAATATATTCAAGGCTGGGCACAATGGCTCATGCCTGTAATCCCAGCACTTTGGGAGACCGAGGTCGGCAGACCACCTAAGGTCAGGAGTTCAAGACCAGCCCTGGCCAACGTGGTAAAACCCTGTCTCTACTAAAAATACAAAAATTAGCTGGGCATGGTGGCAGGTGCCTGTGATCTTAGCTACTCGGGAGGCTGAGGCAGGAGAATCGCTTGAAACCAGGAAGAGGAGGTTGCAGTGAGCCAAGATCCTGCCACTGCACTCTAGCCTGGGCAAAAGAGCGAGACTCCATCTAAATATATATATGCATATATATTTTTTTCAAGATGTAATTTTAAGACATTAACACTTGAGATATAGGAGTACATACTTTTAACCAATATGCTATGCTGCCTCTCTCCATTCTATTCCAACTGTGATATACATGAAAAAGGGCAATAAAATACACACAGCAACAAATACTTAGTAGTAAAATTAACAATGTGAATTGGGTGTTTTAGTATTGTTATAAACCATTGCTATATGCACATTAGTCACTTTATAATTGAATAAATACTAAAGTAACTTGGTTCAGAAAGAATAATATTATTAAGATAAACCCATACACAAAGAAAAATGGGTAACTTCACTTAGTAATTAAGGAAATGCAAATTAAAACAAGGTATCATTCTCACCTTTCAACTGGGCAAAAACTAAAAATACTGTCATATCTGTTGTCAGTAAGAATATACTTGTGTATATTCTAACATGCCTGCTCACATACTCTAGCTAGGTGAAGAAGTAGGTAACACTTTTTTGAGGAGCAATTTGGCAATATTAAAATAAAATTCATGTACCCTTCAACCCTGCCATTTCATTTCTAAGAACTGATCCTGGAGAAATTCATGCAATTCATAAAGATGAGCTCTTATGTTTTACATTTCTGAATTCCTGAGTCATTTATAATAAAAATGACTCATGTATTTCTTTAGTAATTAAAAAAGTAAACACTGTGATGGAAAATTGTTATACTTCTGAATGTCAATCTGAATAAATGAAATAATTTCATTTTAGTTCTTATTACTAAGTTTTAAAAATATGAATTGGGGCTGGACACGGTGGCTGACGCCTGTAATCCCAGCACTTTGGGAGGCCAAGGTGGGTGGGTCACCTGAGGTCAGGAGTTCGAGACTAGCCTGACCAACATGGAGAAACCCTGTCTCTACTAAAAATACAAAATTAGCTGGGCATGGTGGGCGCATGCCTGTAATCCCAGCTACTCAGGAGGCTGAGGCAGGAGAATCGCTTGAACCCAGGAGGCGGAGGTTGTGGTGAGCCGAGATTACACCATTGCACTCCAGTCTGCGCAACAAGAACAAAACTCTGCCTCAAAAAAAAAAAAAAAAAAAAAAGAGCAACTAGTTTTTATCGAATTATGCAGTTCTTGCCATCTTCCTTGTATTCTATTTACAAAAATGGTGAGTTTTGTGAGATATGTAGGCTAGAGGCAAAACAGATTCTCTACAGTACCCTAGTCAGTCAATGAACTTACCCTTCCATATATGCTTGGCACTGACACTAATGAACTTGCCCCATTAATATATGCTTGACATTGCCTGACCCATGAGTTAATAAAACTGACATTGTGGTTTCAATAGAGTACAGTTGCCTGGTTACCCAGTCTCTATACACTTGCCTATGAGGCTGATGCTGTTTGAACTTATGAAAGATTGGAGAAATTCCTATGCAGTTTTTAGATTCTATATTATGGGATAGTTCAAGGGGGGTGGGAGTAGTTAAAGCTGGGTGGAGCAGGTAAGGGCCTAAAGTCTAGAGTTAGTTTTGAATGAAAAGTGGTTATATCACACAGTCTTAAGTTATCCAAAACATACAAATTAGTACTTTCCCTTTGTAATTTACACATTTGGCCAGATTTTCTTCTCCAGATCTTTCTTCTGTGCCTAGCCACTAGTTGCTTTTTAAAAAATACATTTTTTGGTCAGGTGTGGTGGCTCACATATAATCCCAGCACTTTGGGAGGCCAAGGTGGTGGATCACGAGGTCAGGAGATAGAGACCATCCTGGCCAACACGGTGAAACCCCGTCTCTACTAAAAATACAAAAATTAGCTGGGCATGGCAGCAGGTGCCTGTAATCCCAGCTACTCAGAAGGCTGAGGCAGGAGAATCGCTTGAACCCGGGAGGCAGAGGTTGCAGTGAACCGAGACTGTGCCACTGCACTCCAGACTGGTGACAGAGAGACTCCATCTCAAAAAAAAAAAAAAAAAAAAAAAAAAAAGGCCAGTCATGGTGGCTCACGCCTGTAATCCCAACACTTTGGGAGGCCGAGGCAGGCGGATCACGAGGTCAGGATGATTGAGACCATCCTGGCTAACATGGTGAAACCCCATCTCTACTAAAAATACAAAAAAGTAGCCAGGCGTGGTGGCAGGCGCCTGTAGTCCCAGCTACTCGGGAGGCTGAAGCAGGAGAATGGCATGAACCCGGGAGGCGGAGGTTGCAGTAAGCCGAGATGGTGCCACTGCACTCCAGCCTGGGTGACAGAGCGAGACTCCGTCTCAAAAAAAACACCAAAAACATTTTTCTGTGCCAGATCTTTTATCTACCAAACATGACAATTAACACACAGTACATTGTTTTGTAACTGCTATATGTGGCAACAAAATTACTGATGGAAAGCAAGCCACTTCCAATTTTTTAAAGCTGTAGTTACAGGCTTTGAATATCAATTTCAGCTGCTCTGCCTATGGAGTAACCATTCTTTATTCCTTTACTTTCTTAAAAAAAAAAAAAGTACAAAAAAAAAGAATAGCATTTCATTCATTCATTCTTTCAAGCATTACATGCCATGTGCTTTATACATTAACACACTCCTCAGTAACCCTATTAAATAGATGGCATTATTTCTACTTCACAGATGAAAAAAAAAAAAAAGACACCTAAGGATTTGCCCAACAGATGATCCTGCCTCTCTACTCAGACATTTAACAGACAATAAATAAAAAGGTAATATAGCCAAAACTAAACTATCCTCCTACCTGGTCCTCTCCAACCAATAAATGGCACTACCATGAACTCAGTTACTCAAGTCATATATTTAGAGATCATCTTTCATTCCCCTGAATCTCACTAGCCACATTTTTACTGATGAATAAAAGTATAACATTATGTAGTTAAAATGTAAAGCACATAGTAGTAAATATAAAATGAAAATATTGGTAACTGCTATTTATTTCCACAGGTAGTTGCATGTCACAGACATTCTAAATGCAAATACTAAAACATAAATCACTTCTGTACATGCATTTACTTTAGTACAGTCTAAACCGCACATCTCGGCAACTAAGACATCTAATAACAATACTACATAAATTCACAATATATTCAATTTCTGGTAAATGACTTAAACAGGAATAAGTTCTAGAGCCTGGTAATAGTTTGTCTTGAGTTAAAATCTAGCTAAAATAGAAAAATCACTTTCACTGTGATAGATCTATAATACAGTAAATGCTTAAGAAATTACTTTTGTTTCATGTTGAATTAATTATAATTCAGAATTAGGAAATCTTAAAATATTAAAATGATGTTTTCCAAGTTGAAGAAACATTTATCTCTGATAGTGTATAACAGATTGATAATAGAAGTACTGAATTAATGTTTTATGAAACTAGGGTTTGACTGTTATTGACACTTAGTTTTATCACTAAATATTACAACTTGTTTTTTGGTTTGTTCCCTGCTATACCTTAAATAAGGTACATTTTATAGAAAGAATGCCTTCACACAGAAGTTATAATATTCTCTCATATTATTAAGAAAACACTTAGAAATATAATATTCTCCCATATTATTAAGAAAACACTTAGAAAATCCATCACAGGGCCAGTGGTTCACGCCTGTAATCCCAGAACTTTGGGAGGCCGAGGCAGGCAGATCACCTGAGGTCAGGAGTTTGAGACCAGCCTGGCCAAACTGGGGAAACCTCGTCTCTACTAAAAATACAAAAATTAGGCGGGTGTGGTGGTGGGTGTCTGTAATCCCAGCTACTCAGGAGGCTGAGGCAGGAGAATCACTTGAACCCGAGAGGCAGAGGTTGCAGTGAGCTGAGATTGTGCCATTGCACTCCAGCCTGGGCGATGAGTGAAAACTCTGTCTCCAAAAAAAAAAAGAAAGAAAGAAAATCCATCACAGATTCTAAGAACTTCTGAGTCAAAAGTGACCTAAGGGATCGTCTAGTCAAAACACTCAATGTGGTAGCCCCCATAACATCAACTTCTGACAAATGGTCAGAATTTCGAGAGTTTTCATCTGTTTCCACAATGCTCAGATCAACTTAAACACCTCTGATTTTCTTGTTTGTGGAGTCAGAACACTGAAGCATAGAATTTAAGCAAACCAATTAAAAGTAGAGTCAACAGAAATCTATATGGTTACCTTAACAGATGCATTTACATATACAAACTAGCCATATATTATAGATTACAAACACTACATTCAGAATAATAATAATAATAATAATAATACGATGATGATGATTTGAGACAGAGTCTCGCTCTGTCACTCAGGCTGGAGTGCAGTGGCATGATCTCAGCTCACTGCAACCTCCGCCTCCCAGGTTCAAATGATTCTTCTGCCTCAGCCTCCCAAGTAGCTAGGATTACAGGTGCCTGCAACCACACCCAGCTAATTTTTGTATTTTTAGTAGAGACAGGGTTTAACCATGTTGGCCAAGCTGGTCTTGAAGTCCTGACCTCAAGTGATAAGCCTCCCTCAACCTCCCAAAATGCTGGGATTACAGGCATGAGTCACTGTGCCTGGCCTAATTAACTTCTATCACTTAACTTTTCCACAGAACAGGCATGGTTTTATTAAAATTTCATCACTTCATTATTCTTTATTTTTTACATCTAGAATACATATTGGAGCTCTTATTTTTAAATATCTTCAATAGCTGTGGTATACAAATTCCACACAGCACAATCTTTCTTTTCTTTTTTTGAGACAGAGTTTCACTCTTGTTGCCCATGCTCGAGTGCAATGGCGCAATCTCGTCTCACTGAAACCTCTGCCCCCCGAGTTCAAATGATTCTCCTGCCTCAACCTCCCGAGTAGCTGGGATTACAGGCATGTGCCAGCCTGTAATCCCTATTTTTTTTTTTTTTTGTATTTTTAGTAGAGACAGGGGTTTCACCATGTTGGACAGGCTGGTCTCCAACTCCTGACCTCAGGTGATCCACCTGCCCTGGCCTCCCAAAGTGCTGGCATTACAAGCATGAGCCACTGTTCCCGGCCTCTTTTGTTTTTTTTGGTTTTTTTTCCTCTTTTTGAGACAGGGTCTTGCTCTGTTCCCAGGATGGAGTGCAGTAGTGCAATCTGGGCTCATTGCAACTTCCACCTCCCAGGCCCAAGCGATCCTCCCACCTCAGCCCCCTGGGTAGCTGGGACCACAGGCACGTACCACCATGCCTGGCTAATTTTTGTATTTTTTTGTAGAGTCAGGGTCTCACTATGTTGCTAAGGCTGGTCATGAACTCCTGGGCTCAAGCAATCCACCCACTTTGGCCTCCCAAAGTGAAGGGATTACAGGTGTGAGTCACCACACTTGGCAGTATTTCAATGTGTAACTGAGTAACTGATGCCAAAGGATGTACCTCTAGAGATAGAGGGTACTTGTACCTAATTAAAACTGTGAGGCTGGGTGCAGTCCTCACATCAGTAATCTCTGCACTTTGGGAGGCCAAGGTGGGCCCATCGCTTGAGCCCAGGAGTTCCAGACAAGCCTGAGCAACACAGGGAGACCCTGTCTCTATTTTAAAAAATAAAAAAATCAGCTGGTTGTGGTAGCACGCACCTGCAGTCATAGCTACTTGGGAGGCTGAGGTGGGAGAACTGATTGATTGAGCAGGGAGATTGAGGTTGCAGAGAGCTGTGGAACTGTGAAGGTTTTTGCATCTTTCAATAAAACCAACAAATATGCATGTCGTCTTATGTTACTTTCTGTTTTGATTTTACCAACAAAATATTAAACCTATTGTTTAAAATGATGGCAGAACTCCAAAACAAAAATTATGTTGGTAACTGATTAGCCTACTTACCTCCTTGGTTACAAAAGTAAATCTGCTATATATTTAGTATTATATATACTGGTATTATCTCAGCCATTTTGAAAGTAACTTCAGGTACTATAACTAACAGTAAATATGGTATACCGAACATAAAACTGAGAACTTCAGGGAGAAGCTGCTATTTTTAGTCTTTTAATATTTAGTGTTAAGATCTGAATATGGCCGGGCGTGGTGGCTCAAGCCTGTAATGCCAGCACTTTGGGAGGAAAAGGAGGGCGGATCATGAGGTCAGGTGATCGAGACCATACTGGCCAAATGGTGAAACCCTGTCTCCACTAAAATACAAAAAATTAGCTGCTTGAACCTGGCAGGTGCAGGCTGCAGTGAGCCGAGATCACACCACTACACTCCAGCCTGGTGACAGAGCAAGACTCCGTCACAAAAAAAGAAGAAAAAGGAAATCTGAATATAGTGCACTTATCTTATCCAAAATTTAACAAGAAATTAAAAATAGTTTCAGGTTTAGATGACAATAGATGTTACATAGGATGGTTAGAAAAACAGTATTTTAAAAAAAAACATATATACATCATGGTTATGGAGGATGTTTTAGAGAAAATACAAAATCCTAATGACTCTTAACATTATACCTCGGCCGGGTGTGGTGGCTCACGCCTGTAATCCCAGCACTTTGGGAGGTCGATGCAGGTGGATCACTTGAGGCCAGGAGTTTGAGACCAGACTGGCCAACATGGTGAAGCCTTGTTTCTACTAAAAATACAAAAATTAGCTGGGCATAGTGGCATGCACCTGTACTTCCAGCTACTTGGGAGGTTGAGGTGGGAGAATCCCTTGAACTCAGGAGGCAGAGGTTGCAGTGAGCCGAAATCGCGCCACTGCACTCCAGCCTGGGTGACAGAGTGAGACCCTGTCTCATTAAAAAAAAAAAAAATTATATCCCAATTTCAATTTTATATAAATGTTACTTTTGATAAAACTGATAGGAACCTTAATAGAAAATACAAGTTGTTTTAATATAGTAATTTTTTAAATGTTTTTGGCCGGGTGCAGTGGCTCATACCCATAATCCCAGAGCTTTGGGAGGCCAAGGCAGGCGGATCACCTGAGGTAGGGAGTTCGAGACCAGCCTGACCAACACGGAGAAACCCCGTCTCTACTAAAAATACAAAATTAGCCGGGTGTGGTGGCACGTGCCTGTAATTCCAGCTACTCGGGAGGCTGAGGCAGGAAAATAGCTTGAACCTAGGAGGCGGAGGTTGTGGTGAGCCAAGATCGCGCCATTGCACTTCAGCCTGGGCGACAAGGGCAACACTCCATCAAAAAAAAAAAAAAAAGTAATATTTTAAGGCCTCAAGACATTACATTTTTTATTTGTTGGTATTATAGCATCTATGACTAGGAAAAATTAATCAGTTAGTTACCTCTTATAATGTGAAAGGAAATCTTTCAGCTAATTTGAGATGGTTCACACTATTGGTTTCCAACTTGGAAATTGAAAGGTGAGTTAGTTAAGCAATAGATGCCAAAAACTTAGTAGTAGCAAAGTCATAGCAGGAGTAGCTTAACAAGGTGATAATAGACAGAAATGCCATCCTTACTGTGCTATTGAAACATGTGTGTTTAATAGCCTTGATTTCCAACAGACTTTTTTTTTTTTTTTTTTTTTGGTTCAAACTCTGAAGCAGAAAGAAACTACAGTCTATGACAATGGACCATTTTAAAACTCAGTCTCAAAAAATTCACTAGATTCTGAAATTCGGTCTCTGCCAGCAGGGGTCAGGCAGTAGAGGAATAAAGCAGCTGATATACTCAATCACTTATTTATTCATTAATTCAGCAAAGAATGTTCCTATCACAGTCGAGGCATTCAGGCAGAGATGAACTTGAAGAAGCTCATACTCTAGTGGGGGTTACAGACATACAACCAATGATATACCGGTAAATGGCTCTCCCAAAACAAAAAGCAGTGTTTTTAAGAGTTTGCCAATCTCCATGAGATAAACGATCCCACTGAAGCCAATTTCAAGGTACCAACACTTTGTCAGATTCACAAAATTCCTGAATATTTAATAATCAGCTTTTTTGCACTAAGCTCGAGCATTCAACTAATAACTTCAATGGAATGTTTGCAAGTTAACACCAATAACTGCTACAATATAGATAGAACGTGATATAGATTGGTTTAATGAAATTGAATTAATTTCAACAAATACTATTTGTTCTTTGACTCTTCTTAAAAAATTCTGTATAGAGAATATAAACATCAGTAAGATATAGTACCCCTCCTCGAAGAGTATATAGGCTATAAGATGGCCTAAACCAATTATACAAATGAATGTTGTATGAGGCACAATATCACTGTGTGGTATTTCAAGGCTAACTCAGGAGATAAGGAGAGGTTATCTTCATATACGACACAGAATTATAGAAGGTTTCCTGAAGGATGTGTCAGCTGAGTGTAGTCTTCTTGAAACACATACGGATCTTTGAATGGCATGAGGAGAAGGGGTAAGGCTGAGGGAGAAGAGCTGAGGGAACTACATGAGCAAGAAATCACATCCTTTTAAAAAATTTATGTGTTCAGAGGCAGGTAAGTAAATATCAGTTGGTAAAATCTGAGGTACATGGAAAGACAAATAACTTCTATAAAAAGTATTCTAGAGTTAATAAAGTTGTATTCACCTACATTGTCTCACTTTCATTCTCACAAACAACATGTGTCAGGGAAGTGATCCTACTGTTATGCTAACTTTACTGATAAAGAGTCCGTGTAGCGAGATAGAAGGAGGGTGAGGTAAACTACTGCTATAGTATATAGTATAGTATAGTTAATGGATGAAAGATTTAGGAAATGGAATCAGAGAAAGCACTACAAATCATAAAATGGGGAAAAGCAATGACCTTACTGTGAACTCTTAAATACTACTTACTTATCTTCTGCATCAGTATCTCTGTTTATATAGCAAGAATAGTTGACTATCAAGTCCTATATTCACATCCTCAGCAGGACCATTGTGTTGCACAGCCAGGAGATGCCATTTTCATCTTGTTCAGCTTTATGTGTACAAGTGTACAGCTACTGACACTAGTAGATGCTTTAAGAATCAAATGAACTAAGGTTGGAGAAATGAGTTGAAAAGTATAAAACATTAACTCAATATGAAGCTTCCTCCTCTTTCCCCTCAATGAAGTTGGCATGAATTTTCAAGGTCAGTAACTAGAATATCACTGACTAGCAGATTTTCCCCAGAAATACACTCAAATTACTATGAAGTAAAAACCATTCTCCTTTCTAATGGATCTCAACTAGAAATATAAATGATACATGATAATTTCCCCATTGAGAATATGCTTTCCTAACAGGCTAATTAATATCTTTATTCCCTAAAGTATTCATCCCCTGCTCAAATACACTTTCACTACATTATAGTAACAGAAAAAATACTGATGGAAGCACTATGCAAGGTTAGTCACAGAAACCCTGTATGATAATGTAAACGGTACCCAATAATAGTACCACTGTCTATATTATAACCTAGAAAAATTGCTATCAACCCACTTGAAATGTTATTCTAGTAGTTCAACATAACTGCCATCTAATAGTCAGAAACAGAGTAGAAATATGTCCCCTTTAAAAAATGTAACAGAAGCTGGGCCCGGTGGCTCATACCTGTAATCCCAGCACTTTGGGAGGCCAAGGCAGGCAGATCACCTGAGGCCAGGAGATCGAGACCAGCCTGACCAACATGGAGAAACCCCGTCCCTACTAAAAATACAAAATTAGCTGGGTGTGGTGGCGAATGCCTGTAATCCCAGCTACTCAGGAGGCTGGGGCAGGAGAATCACTTGAACCTGGGAGGTGGAAGTTGCCGTGAGCTGAGATTGCACCATTGCGCTCCAGGCTGGGCAACAAGAGCGAAACTCTATCTCAAAGAAGAGGAGGGGAGGGGAGGGAAGAGGAGGGAAGGGGAGAGGAGGGAAAGGGAGAGGAGGGGAGGGAGGGGAGGGGAGCGGGGGAGAGCGGAGGAACACGTATAAACTATGGTTCCATAAAACTATCCAGTGCTTAATATCAAACTCAAGAAAACTGTATCCAACATTACAAAGTCTATTTTTTCTTGGTTTAACTTCAATAGAGAGGAAAAACACCTAGGCAATATGACAAAAAGAGTTCTTTAAACTCTTGGAAAACATTGGTATATTGAAACTTGTTTTTCTTTTTTGGGGTTTTTTTTACACAGCACCACATTCTGTCGCCCACGCTGGAGTGCAGTGGCGCGATCTTGGCTCACTGCAACCTCTGCCTCCCGGGTTCAAGCGATTCTCATGCCTCAGCTTCCTGAGTAGCCAGGATTACAGGCGCATGCCACCACGCCCAGCTAATTTTTGCATTTTTAGCAGAGACAGGGTTTTGCCATGTTGCCCAGGCTGGACTCGAACTCCTGACCTCAGGCCATCCGTCCACCTGAGCCTTCCAAAGTGCTGGGATTATAGGAATAAGCCATGGTGCCCGACCTGAAACTTGGCATTTTTATATTTTACCCAAGTGGCATAATTCCCGATTCTCTAGTTTTCCTTTTCGGAATAATTTTTTATTTTGTATGTGTAGCTGTCTTTTAAGCTCTCAGTTCTCCATTTCATATTTAGTTTCCTTTTTATATTTCAATGTACAACTCAGTGGTTTTCAATATATTCACAAAGTCATACAACCACCTTAACCAATTCCAGAACGTTTTATCAATCAAAAAAAAAAAAAAAAAACCCAACCTGAAAAATGGGCAAAGGATTTGCATAGACATTCCTCCAAAGAAGTTCTATAAATGGTCAATAAACACATGAAATGATGCTCAAAACTGGCCGGGTGCGATGGCTCATGCCTGTAATTCCAGCACTTTGGGAGACTGAGGCAGGTAGATCACCTGATGTCAGGAGTTCGAGACCAGCCTGGCCAACAAGGTGAAACCCCGTCTCTACTAAAAATACAAAAATTAGCCAGGCATGGGGCGCGTGCCTGTAATCCCAGCTACTTGGGAGGCTGAGGCGGGAGAACTGCTTGAACCTGGGAGGCAGAGGTTGCAGTGAGCCAAGATCGCACTCCAGCCTGGGCGACAGAGCAAGACTCCATTTCAAAGAAAAAAAAAAAAGGAAATGATGCTCAAAATCACTAGCCATTACAAAAATGCAAGCCAGAACCACGATCAGATACCACTTTACCTCCATTAGAATGGCTATTCTAAAAAATGAAACACGCGGTGGCTCACGCCTGTAATCCCAGCACTTTGTGAGGCCAAGGCGGGCGGATCACAAGGTCAGGAGTTCGAGACCATCTTGGCTAACACAGTGAAACCCTGTCTCTACTAAAAATACAAAAAATTAGCTGGGCGTGGTGGCAGGCACCTGTAATCCCAGCTACTCGGGAGGCTGAGGCAGAAGAACAGCGTGAACCCGGGAGGTGGAGCTTGCAGGGAGCCGAGATCGCACCCACTGCACTCCAGGCTGGGCAACAGAGCGAGACTCTATCTCAAAAAAAATAAATAAATAAATAAAAATAAAAATAAAATAAAATAAAACAAAACAGAAAATAACAAGTATTGGTTAGTACATGGAGAAATGGAAACTGTTCTGCATTGCTGGAGGAAATGTAAAATGGTATATTCACTGTGGAAACCTGTTCCTCAAAAACTTAAACACAGAATTACCATATGATTCAGCAATCCCATTTCTTGGGTGTATACGTAATAGAAATGAAAGCAGGACCTCAAAGATGTATTTGTACACCCATGTTTATAGCAGCATTATTCACAATACTCAAAAGGTGGAAACAACCCAATGGTCTATCAGTGTGTGAATGGATAAACAAAATGTGGTACTTACATACAATGGAATATTACTCAGCCTTAAAAAAATAATAAAATTCCGGCCAGGCGCGGTGGCTCACGCCTGTAATCATAGCACTTTGGGAGGCCAAGGTGGGTGGATCACCTGAGGGCGGAAGTTCGAGACCAACCTGACCAACATGGAGAAACCCTGTCTCTACTAAAAATACAAAATTAGCCGGGCGTTGTGGCGCATGCCTGTAATCCCAGTTACTCGGGAGGCTGAGGCAGGAGAATCACTTGAACCCGGGAGGCGGAGGTTGCGGTGAGCCGAGATCGCGCCATTGCACTACAGCCTGGGCAACAAGAGCGAAACTCTATCTCAAAATAAAATAAAATAAAAATAAAAAATAAAATAAAATAAAATTCTATCATGTGCTACAACATGAATGAACCTTGAAAACAGTAAGCTGAGTGAAATAAGCCAAATACAAAAGGCCACATACTGTATGATTCCACTTTATGAAGTAACTAGGGTGGTTACATTAAGAATTTGACAGAAAGTAGAGTCATGGTTGGCTAGGAGCTAGAGGCAAAGGGGAATAAGGAGTTACTGTTTAATGGGTACAGAGTTTTAGTTTGTAAAGACAAAAAAGGTTTTGAAAATGGGTTAAAGTGATGGTTGCAAGAGAATGTGAATGTTACTTGATGTAACTGAACTATACACGTAAAAATGGTTAAAATGCTAAATTTTGTTATGTATATTTTACAATTAGAAAAAACACAGAAAAAATCATATATATGATAAAGTAACCATCTGACATAGCAATTCTACTCCTAGATATATAACAAGAGAACTGAAAACATATGTCCAGGCCAGGCGCAGTGGCTCACGCCTGTAATCCCAGCACTTTCAGAGGCCGAGGCGGGTGGATCACGAGGTCAGGAGATACAGACCATCCTCGCTAACACAGTGAAACCCCGTCTCTACTAAACATAGAAAAAATTGGCCAGGCATGGTGGCAGGCACCTGCGGTCCGGACTGCTCAGGAGGCTGAAGCAAGAGAATGCCGTGGACCCGGGAGGCAGAGGTTGCAGTGAGCCGAGATTGCGCCACTGCACTCCAGCCTGGGCGACAGAGCGAGACTCCGTCTGAAAAAAAACAAAAAACAAAACAAAACAAAACATATGTCCAAACAAAAACATGTACATGAATGTTCACAGTAGCATTATTCATAACAGCCAAAAGGTGGAAGTAACCCAAGTATCCATTAATGAATGAACAAAAATGTGGTATGCCCACACAATGGAATATCATTCAGTCTTAATGAATAAAATACGGATTACATGTGGCAACACAGATGAACCTTAAAAACATGCCATTCTATTTTCTGTTACTTTATTTTAGAATTCTGAAAATTAGCCTATGTAGGGAGAGGTAATACAACAAAAACAAATTTGTACCCATTAAACATTAAGATTTAAACAGACTCTCCATGTTTATTAAACACTCTACAGTATACATAGGAAGATCATTGTGCTGTGTTTAAATTACATTATATTTCTTTTTTTTTTTTTTTTTTTTGAGATGGAGTCTTGCTCTGTCACCCAGGCTGGAGTGCAGTGGTGCGATCTTGGCTCACTGCAACCTCCGCCTCCCGGGTTCAAGCAATTCTCCTGCCTCAGCCTCCCAAGTAGCTGGGATTACAGGCACATGTCACCATGCCCGGCTAATTTTAAGTAGAAACTGGGTTTCAGCGTTAGCCAGGCAGGTCTCGAACTCCTGACCTCAGGTGATCCACCCACCTCAGCCTCCCAAAGTGCTGGGATTACAGGCGTGAGCCACCGCACCCGGCAAATTACATTATATTTCTTATATAAAATTGTTGCATACTGGCCAGGCATGGTGGCTCACACCTGTAATTCCAGTACTTTGGGAGGCCAAGGTGGGCAATCACAAGATCAGGAGTTCAAGACCAGCCTGGCCAACATGGTGAAACCCTCTCTACTAAAAATAAAACAATTAGCTGGGTGTGGTGGCACACGTCTGTAATCCCAGCTATTCGGGAGGCTGAGGTAGGAGAATCGCTTGAACCTGGGAGGCGGAGGTTGCAGTGAGCTGAGATCGTGCCACTGCACTCCAGCCTGGGTGACAGAGCAAGACTGTCTCAAAAACAAACAAACAAACAAAAAAAACTGTTGCATACAAAGAAAATAATTATTTGAAGAAGTTTAATATTTAAAATGCATTGTGCTACATAACTTGTGATTATTAATGAAATGTAAAAACAAAAACAACAAAAATTCAAACCCAATAGCAACCATTAACTATTTTCCCTTCCCTCCAGCCAGATGCCCCAGAGACTTGCCTACTCTCGGCATTTGATATAAACGTAATTATATAATATGTGGCTTTTTGTGTTTAGTTTCTTTCATTTAGCATGTTTTTAAGGTTCATTAACATTGTCATATGTATCTGTATTTCATTCCATTTTTTTATGACTGAAAATATTCCATTGTATGGATATACCACATTTTGTTTATCCATTCATTCATTAGTGGACTTCCACATTTTGGCTATTATGAACCATCTCCTATAAACATTCACATACACATTTTTGTGTGGATGCATGTTTTCAATTCTCTTGTTACATATCTAGGAGTAGAATTGCTGGGTCAGATAGATGGTAACCATGTTTAACATGTTGAGGAACTATCAAACTTTTTCCACAGCTACTACATTATGTCATAATTCCACCAGCAATGCGTAATAGTTCTCATTTCTCAACATCTTTGCCAATACAACACTTGTCACTGTCACCTTTTTTTTTTTCCAGACAGTTTCACTCTGTTGCCCAGGCTGGAGTGCAGTGGCACGATCTCAGCTCACTGCAGCCTCCATCTCCCGGGTTCAAGTGATTCTCATGCCTCAGCCTCCCCAGTAGCTGAGACTGCAGGCATGCACCACAATGTCCACTTCACTTTTGTGTTATTAGTAGAGATGGGTTTCACCATGTTGCCCAGGCTGGTCTCAAACTCCTGACCTCAAGTAATCCGCTGGCCTTGGCCTCCCAAAGTACTGGGATTACCGGCATGAACCACTGCATACAGCCTACCTTTTAAAATTCTAGCCATCCTAGTGGTGTGAAGGGGTAGTTCATTTTGCTTTTTTCTTTTTTTGAGACAGAGTTTCTCTCTTGTTGCCCAGGCTGGAGTGCAATGGCGCGATCTCGGCTTACGCAACCTCCACCTCCCGGGTTCAAGCAATTCTCCTGCCTCAGCCTCCCAAGTAGCTGGCATTATAGGCATGCACCACCACGCCCGGCTAATTTTGTATTTTTAGTAGAGGTGGGGATTCCTGGGACTATAGGCGTGAGCCATCGTGCCTGGCCATTTTTCTTTGTTTTAATTGACAAATAATAATTGTGTATATTTATGGGGTACAAAGTGATGTTTTGATATATGTATACACTATGAAATGATTAAATTAAGCTAATTAACATATCCAGCAGGCCAGGTGTGGTGGCTGACACCTGTAATCCTTTGGGAGGCCCAGGCGGGCAGATCACTTGAGCCCAGGTGTATCAGACCAGCCTGGGCAACATGGTGAAACCTCATCTCTACAAAAAATACAAAAATTAGCTGGGCATTGTGGCACGTACCTGTAGTCCCATCTACTCAGGTGGCTGAGATGGGAGGATCAATGGAACCCGGGAGTTCGAGCATGCAGTGAGCCTTGATTGTGCCACTGCACTGCAGACTGGGTAAGAAAACAACAACAACCCCCACATATCCAGCACTTGAAGTATTTACTGTGTGTGTGTGTGTGTGTGTGTGTGTGTGTGTGTGTGTGTGTGTGTGTGTGGTGGGAACATTTAAATTCTAATCTTTTAGCAATTTTGAAATATATAACACATTACTAAATATAGTCACCCTGCTGTACGAAAGACCATTAAAATTTATTCCTCCTGTCAAACTGAAACTGTATCCTTTGACCAACATCTCCGCTTTCCTCATTCCTACCCGTCCACACCCCACCACCAGCCTCTGGTAATCACTGTTCTCCTCTCTACTTCTATGAGTTTGACTTTTCTAGAATCCATATATAAGTGAGAACATGTTTATTCACTTAGCATGCTGTCCTCCAGGTCTTCCCATGTTGTTCCAAATGACAGAAGTTTCTTCTTTTTAAAGGCTGAATAGTATTCTGTTGTATATATTCATATATACCACATGATCTCTATCCATGTATTCACTGATGAACACTTACATTGCTTCCATATCTTGCTTATTGTGAACAATGCTTCAATGAATACTGGAATGCAGGTATCTCTTTAACACACTGATTTCAATTTCTTTGGATTTTTTATTTGCATTTCCCTAATGACTAAAGATGTTGGGCAACTTTTCATTTGCTTATTGGCTGTTTGCATATCTTCTCCTGAGAAATGTCTATTCAGATCTTTGCCAATTTTCAATTAGATTATTTGTCTTTTTATTATTGAGTTGTAAGAGTTCTTCATATATCCTAGATACAAGTCTCTTATCAATATACAATTTGGAAATATTTTCTTCCATTCTTTAAATTGTCATGTCATTTTACTGATGATGCCCTCTGAGGCACTAAAGTTTTTAATTTTGATGAAGTTCAAATAACCTATTTTTCCTTGTTTGTAGTTTTAGTGTCCTAACTGAGAAACCATTACCTAACCCAAAAACCACGAAAAATTTTTCCTGTTTTCTTCTATGAGGTTTATAGTTTTAAGTCTTAGATTTGGATCTGTGATTTAAGTTAATTTTTCTTTCTGTCTGGTGTGAGGGAACAGTCCAGTTTCATTCTTGTGCATGTAGATATCTAGTTGTCCCAGCACCATATGTTGAATTTTCTTGGTAATCTTGCTGAAAATTAATTGACCATAAATGTAAGGGTTTCTTTCTAGGTTCTCAATTCTAGTGCACTGATCTATCTGTCTGTCCTTATGCTGGTTCCACAGTCTTAATACTCATATGGAATTTTAATTCACTTAACACAAGTAAAGCTAATGACATCAAATTAGTACCATTTACATTTATTATCTCTCAATATTATAAAATCTTATGTATTAGAAAGCCTTGTTATGTATATATAATTTACTTTTACAATCTTATTGTAGCATATGCATATAAGGTAAAAGTCTACTTTAAGATAAAAAATAAAATTTCTTATTATTCATTAAAAAAATTGATTTATAGAAATTCAAACACCACGGCAACAGAAAACGCTATTTCAACCCTGAGCCCTTTAAGTAATACCTTAAGGATTAAAAGATTACTTACATTTCACAGCAACATATTTACACATTTACTTATACAGTCACTGCCTACAGACTAGCACACACCCCTCTCTCTCACACACCCACATAAATGGTTCAATTGAAGCACACGAGATTTCTAAATTCCCACATAATGACCAAATTTTAGAGTCAATATTTGAAATAAGAATTATCAACAGAAATCAAGACTCTTAAGATATTTACTATATTTCTGATATTTCAAATTTCAAGCAAAGTGATCTATATGTATATGTGTCATTATATATATACATGACATATATGACATATATATGACATATACATGACATGTATGACATATATATGACATATACATGACATATATATAAAAAAAACTGACCAGCAAAAAAACAGCAGCCTTTAAAAATACCTTATTAAGATTTCCTTGTTTAGGATATGAGGAATAAGGGAAACATCTCCCGATTCAACAGCAATGAACTGATATTTAAATGATATGCTTTTCTTATGATGATAATTATAGGACATTATAAACATACCTCTTAGGAGGAATTATTTCACATTTTCATTAGGCAAAGGCAGGCAGGCATGTAAATATAATGTGCCTTTGATAACAGAACACCAAAAGGACTAGAAACAAATGCTAATAGCATATTTTGAATTTCAGCTACATAACCTGTAACTCTAATATTTGCTCTTGAAATTGAGTTTTCATTAAAAAAATCAGGAATCTTACTAATTATCTCACTTATAATTAATTTTATTTAAATGTGATTTTCTTTATAAGTTTTCCTTCATAGTAATGATTATGGATCTCTTCTATAACACTATAGCCAGGAAAAAAAAAAAAACCCACAAAGGTCTCCAAACCAAAACTTTATTAAGTATTTGCTATGGTAACTACCATAACGTGATAACAATATACCTACAAAAAGTTATGGCATGTAGGCCAGGCTTGGTGGCTCACGCCTGCAATCTCAGCACTTTGGGAGGCCGAGGTGGGCGGATCACCTGAGGTCAGGAGTTCGAGACTAGCCTGGCCAACATGGTGAAACCCCATCTCTACTAAAAAATACAAAAAAAAAAAAAAAAAAAAATTGGCCAGGCGTAGTGGTGGGCACCTGTAGTCCCAGCTACTCGGGAGGCTGAGGTGGAGAACTGCTTGAACCCAACAGGTGGAGGTTGCAGGGAGCCGACACAGTGCCACTGGACTCCACCTTTGGCGACAGAGCGAGACTGTCTCAAAAAAAAAATTATGGCATGTATTAAATTGATAGATTCTAACTGTCAGCAAAATAGAAGGAAAGAGGCTAAGAAAGTCAATGTGTAAAACAAAATTTTCTATTCATCTGAATAAAGCTCTAGTTACACATAGATTCTTAACTTTCCTAAATACTTTAAAGATTGTTGGTTGGGCACGGTGGCTCAAGTCTGTAATCCCAGCACTTTGGGAGGTTGAGGCAGGTGGATCACCAGAGGTCAGGAGTTCGAGACCAACCTGCCCAACATGGTGAAACCCCATCTCTACCAAAAATACAAAAATTAGCCAGGCATGGTTGCATGCACCTGCAACCCCAGCTACTCAGGAGGCTGAGGCAGGAGAATCGCTTGAACCTGGGAGGTGGAGGTTGCAGCGAGCAGAGATTGCACCATTGCACTAAAAAAAAAAAATCATCCAGTGGTGCCACCTTGGATAGACATCCACTGTATTAACATCTAAAGGAGGCTTATTTCCAGCAGAGAACAAAAGGGGAATTATATAAATGAATACAAATTAATCCTCTGGAAATGTGTCATTTAACTATACATTTAAGAGGTCCCACAGGTATATAAAAATTCTAGAGTTGCTTATCTTTAAAATCTATAAAATGGAGGGCCCATCTCTTTTATAATATATATGATTTCTCTCTATAAGACAAAGTTTTTTGTTTTTGATTTTGTTTTCCCTGAGACAGAGTCTCGCTCTTGTCACCCAGGCTGGAGTGCAGTGGCGCGATCTCGGCTCACTTGCAACCTCCGCCTCCTGGGTTCAAGTGATTCTCCTGTCTCAGCCTCCTGAGTAGCTGGGATTACAGGAACCCACGACCACACCTGGCTAATTTTTGTACTTTTAGTAGAGACAGGGTTTTGCCATGTTGGCCAGGCTGGTCTTGAACTCCTGACCTCAGGTGATCCATTCGCCTCGTCCTCCCAAAGTACTGGGATTACAGGCGTGAGTCACCGTGCTTGGCCTTTTTTTTTTTTTTTTTTTTTAACTACTTGGTATTAAATGGCTAGGCAAGGGAAATTCTATCAATATTATTTAAGATTCTCCACATGGACAACTTGAAAACAATTCAAATTATATAAGTCAAATAGGAAATCATGGCACCTTGATTTCTAACAATGGAAGAGGTATTACATGTGTAAGATAGAATCTTATTTTGAACATTGCCTAGCTCTCTCATTCCATAGTGTAATCCTGGATTTCCTCTGGAGTATATCTTATGCTCCTCTCCCAAAATACATAAAAAATAAGGTTTACACTTTCCCAAGCAAAGGTAACTTAATGCTACATATCCTCCCAGAAACAGGCCTAATTTTCCTTTATACAGTCTTTCCTTGTTTTGGAGGGAGAAAATGTTCTCTTGGGTGCCTACAGTCATGTCAAAAGCTTTACTAGGTTCCTGTCTCAGCTTCTTCTGGAATTAGTCAAATCACATTTATTTCTTCATTAGATTCTTTTTAATCAACCCCAACAAACATTTGCCTTTGATTGTTATGCCTCAATTACTTAAACTTTGTGGGTATTTGACTTTGCAGCATCAAGTTTTTAGGAAATTATAATCATAATCAATGTGTGGAATAGCTGTAGCCAAAACAGAAAAAGATTCCTTCCTAGCCTTCATCTAAATGGATACCATATATCTCTGGATACTATGGACTAAAACTGTACTGGCATTTTTTTTAAATTCTATTTTGAACTCTAAGTACAAACAGAATTGGTTTCTCTGTGTCACTCATGGGACTTTCCCAGTATTATTCTTTTCCAAAGTACCTTCTTTCCTCACGCTTCCTTCATTCTTTTCCATCAAGCGTCCATGTTCAGTATTATTTTTCCTACTGCCCTCCCTCCACCCCCATGCATTAGCTGTAAGTAGATGTAAAGCTTGGTGTAAGTCCAAAAATTGTATGATCAAAATATATACTTAGCAAATTGTTTGGCTAAATCTTTCATGTAGGATGAAAGATTATTACCACAATTCATTAGCAAATTATAGACTTTGAAATGTAGGCAGACAAATATTTGGCCCTGTATCAATCAATTTGGACCAGCTGGGTAGAAATTCACACAATCCCAGGAAACCTGGGATGTGAGGTGCTCTTTCATTTTTCATTCACTTGAAACATTAAAGAAAAATTATCATTCTATAAAAATGTCCACTTTTCAAGATTTCCGCAAACAATTTTAGAATAGGTCTTATTTTCAGCCAATCACTACTTTAGTGACCAATAAACTAATTTTTCTTGCAATTGATTGTGGAAGAATAGTGCCTAATGCATACAGGGACACTCTAATACTTAGCCATGATAATCCAGTTTAAAAAGCTAAATATTTAATAACAGTTCTATTGCTTTTAAAAGGTGGGGGGCTGTACTATAGACATTAAATAAGCCCAGAAACTAATTTTGCAGTTATTCATGATAAATAATATCATTAACATTCTCTCTCTGGGCCCCCCTAGCATACTGAGGTGACCCTGTACAAAGATTCTGATTGATCCTATGTCTGTCTGTTTTGGTTAAGCTACAGGGCCGTATATAGGAACAGCTGCACTTTGGGAGCAACTTAAAACAAATTTCATCTTAGTGGCATCTAATCCAGTGCTTGGTACAAGACTCATGGAAAAGTCAGTGTCAAAATTAAACAATGCCGGCTTTGCAATGAGCAGATGCTTTTGCCTTGCAGCTGTAAAACCCTAGAACAATCCAGTACTCTACTGTCTGGTCACGCAATGACCACAAAGCAAGGAATACATTTTGTCATTTATATAAAATGTTTACTACAAGCTTTTAAAATCTTTTTTCTCTAAAAAAAAAGTTTTTCAAAATAATAATAGGAGTACATTGAGGGTAATAAGGTACTATACTATAGCCCTATATTGAGCAGCAGGATTTTTTAAAAGAATATTTATCACAAAAAGTATGTTTGAAAAAGAAAAACTCCTTAACTGTATAACACTGAGTCATACACAAGACACATTAGACAAAAGAAAAATTACCATAACCAGATATTTGAAGAGGTTGTAACCAAATAACCTTTGGCATATAAAGATAAACATGTAAATAATTTTCTACATGCAGGCCTTATCTTAATATGCCAAGTCTTGGTCCAGCTTATATTTATGAGCACTTTATATTCACTTACCCATCCTTTGGTTTAATTTCTTGTGTGTGTGTGTGTGTTTGTTTTACAGAGGGTTGGGGAGGAATGAAGAGGTTGGTTACTATTTCTTATCTTAGGACTAGAAGATAGTTAAACATTAAAATAGTTCTCAGCTTAAGTAATGTGGTACTTACCACATCTATGAAGAAATTATAGCCTTTCCCAACACATACCCTAGGAAAATAACCTTGTCTCTGGCATTCAGGAATCTAGGAGTTAATATTTTAATACTGAAAAAGAAAAACCTCTTCTTCATGCATGAGGAGCACTGTCTCTGTGAAACCAAAGAATCAGCCCCATCTAAGTAAGTGACTACATGGTCATGATCAATCCACTTCTGCTAACTGAGGTTCTGCCTTTAAAGATAGCTTTTTATTGTACCTACAAGAAAGAAATCTAGTACCTTTACCTTTATTTTAAATGGTCTGCTGCAAAAAATTTTTTGCAGTGAGTTTTTCTTAATCTTTCATATTTTTTCTTGAAATGTTTTTCTCCCCAAGGATATCAATTCATTAATGCCTCATTACTTACAAATTTCATTGTATATTTTGCTGGTGGAAGGTTTGGGAATTCTCCTTATATCCCTCCTCACCCTATAACTTACATTTCAATGAGCACTCCCAAAGTATGAGTACATTAATATGAATCAAATTTTATTTTAAATATATAAAAGGCATGCTACCTTCTTAAATGAAGTCTTTAAGAAATAAAAAAGATTTTTGGGGTTGCTTGTGCATTTCTGTGTTTTATTTTCTAAAAATGTAATTAAAACTTATTGACATAAAAAGCTTATTGATGCAATATGCCTTTTAAAATATAAATTCTAGACATTAATTTGAAGAGACGATACAAACTTTAAGAAGACTATGAAACATTTACAATTATCATGATGAACTATTGGTATGATTTTGTTGTATTCTTTGATAATAGCTATAATTAAAATTAAAATGAACATGGTGGCGGTAATATATGCCATCAAACAAAAGTAAACAATGCCACTAAAATATATCACAAGAATTAAATTTAGAACTACAAAAACATAAAAAGCAGGTGATGTATATTCCTAAATTTGATTCCTTGTATCCTAACCCACATAGTTTACAATAAGAACTAATTATTTCACAGTCTTAGTATTCCAAATTACAGTACTATACATGAACAGCTTTAAGGATAAGGAATAACTATAAATTTGTACAAACTGGACAGGTTTTTTTAATCTCATAACTTTGGTTAATAATCAGAATTATGACAACAGAACTGTGTGAAAATATTGTTTGAAAGCATATTCCAAAGTAAGATTATTAATTATACAACTGCAATTCACACTTAATGTACTTTATTACATTACATATTTTTATAGGACCATCTAGAGATTTGCAAAAAATGGTTGGCTCAAATAAATGGTTCTCTTTTAAGTGCATTTTATCCCTTTAGGTTCACACAATAACAGCAATATATTTTTAAAGTATATATTTTACTCAAAAAATACATAAGTAAGTCAGAAACCAAAAGCTAACAGATGTGTGACTTCTAATTAGTTATAATAATCTCTGCTTCAATGCCATTAGAATGAGCCTTCCTTTTCTTTTGAAAACTAAAAAAGCTTTCCTTTGAATTTTAAACTGTCAGGGTGCTTCAAAGTCAATGTACAAAATCTGCTTTGATTAAAATTTTAGACATCTACAGTGATAACTTTATGAAAGGAAAATATTAAATTATAATTATCCTAAACAGACACAGTCTTGTGAAACTAACCCTACATTCATGTTAAAACACAAAGAGTTGAATATAATGAATTTGATTCATCCTCGGACACAAAGCTTCACCACAGTAAACTCAGTCAACTGTTGCTCTTGCGCCTATATTCATGGTGCTTAAATAGCGCACTTTAAAACAAAAAAAACTCCAATTGGCTTTTCATACATCCACCCTCCCCAAAAATAACGCACTTGAAAAACTCAAATGATATGAAAGGCTTCAAGGCCTCTTTTCTCCCTTTCATACCCCCCTTTTTTTTTTTATTTCTGTTTGCAGTAATCTGCCTTTCTCTTTCTCATTGCTACAGAGCAAGCGAGGAGGCTCAGAGCTTTGAAAAGGGGGCTGTGTGTAATGGGTCCACTAGAATTAATTTACTTGCACCAAATCCATTGAGCACAGAGGTTCTTTTCCCCCCTCTCTCTCTCTCTTCTCAAATCATTTGGAGTCGAACGCAGCCCCCGGCCTTTGTAATTCTAGTAAAGCACTTAAAGTGCACAGTAGGTGTTCATGAGGACCATCTGGTCAAAAGCAAAACAAGCTGCTGATTTTGCCTTTGAATAGAATGAAGCAAGTGTGAATTAGTCTCTTCAATTAGCACTATTACAACCTGTCAAGTGCATATTGTAAAACAGGATTATTACAGTATTGGTCACCAGTGCAATTATTTACTCTCTGCCTTTTCTTGCATATAAAAAAATCTTATGTTTATTAGTTTCTGATAACTGAACGGAATTTCTCTTAACCCAGGCATTTCAAAACTACCAACACATAAATCACAGATGATGAAATGTGGTCAGCTATCATGTTTGATACACATATCTTAAGTAACAAAAGGCTAAAGACTGTTCTTAATTCTTAAAATGTCATTGCTTCTATCGTCTTGAAATGCAGGTAGACAAATACTTATATGGGCCAAAAAAGATATCCAATCCAGATTATTCTAAAATAGTTCCAGAGAGGGGAAAAGACTTGTCAGTTCCAAAGAGCTGCATTATAAATATTAAATTTATTACTTCAGGGGATAATTTGTTAAGAATCACAGGAAACCTCAATATTTATAAAATGATCCCTACTGATTTATATTCATTTGAAGTGGTATGATTTCAACAGATCTCAGTTTTCAAATGCAACTTGAAACTAATAATATATATGCATATTTAAAAGATGCATAATCGTCTTTTCTGAAAGCTGAATAAAGGCTTGAATTCACTGCCCAGTTGCAGAAGAAATTATCTCTTTCATTCTTGCTAAAATGTCATTCGTGATTTCAAATTTTAAAAAATCAAACTATAATATATGTTAATTAAATTGGTTCATTCTAATTGATCCAATATATGCCATTTATCTTGCAGTAAAAACAAACCACTTACACTTTTAATTAAATAAGCACACAACTTAATTTACCCTCTTGCATATGCACATTCTCAGTTACCCTACTCTTACTTCAGTTCTGTGCCAGCAACCCCAACCCTCCCCATACTGGAAAACAAAACAAACAAACCAAAAAAAACACCCAATACTTTAAAACATTTACAGAAAGGCCATGTTAGTTAAGGAGTTATAGTCAACCCACTACTAGAACATCAATAATTAGCACAATCTGTGAAAGACTACATATTTTAATTACTGTTACTGGCCACCAGCATTAAAGGAGAATAGTCCAAAATATACGCTAGTCAAGCAAGTTAAGAAAGTAGCAAGTAGAATAATAGACACAACATACAAAATCCGACGTTAGGTTCAAATGCTCAGAATCAGAGTTAGCCTTATCATTATTTAGCCCAGATTATTTTTAAGGATTGGTATAATCTGTGTATTTAGTTCATTCAGTTCCTGAGACTTATTCAACTCTATTGGCTTCCCATTTAATCACTACTTTGTACAAACTGTAATAGTACTGAAATGTTTTACTACTCCCTGCAAGATATATCTTTATAGGTTGCCAATTTTCCCCTTTCATGCCATTAAGAACTAAATCAACAATAATAAGAACAGTGAGATTTCTGAGGTAAAGTGAAACTTGGAAGAGGATTTAAATAATTCCAATAGCTATTCATCATGCTTCTTGTTGTAACAGATAAGTAATACTCCATAATTCTGCACTAAAAATACTTAGGTTTCTTATTGTTATTCTGGGTCATGTGTATATTCCTTAAATTTATATGACATCTACAAAGAAAACAATATTTTGCCTAACAGAAGCTTCTGCAGTAGTAAGGCCGATAACAAAGAATCAGTTTCCAAGAAAAGTTGGCTTGATTTCAGAGACTTCATATCCTTTTCCACACCTGGGTTTTGGATTTGCTGAAAGCAAATCAATCTTTTTTCCCCTTAATTTAACCCACCCCAAGTGCATTTGTAACCACAGATCTTTAATAGTATTAGTGAGAATTACTAGAATCTGCACAATAAACTGTTGACAAATCTGAATTCTCAGCGTAAAAAAAATTCATTAAAATAAGGTAAGCCTGTTTAAATTTAAGGAAACTCACAATTTTAAAGTGTGACAAATAGTTAATTTAGGACCCAAAAAGGTTGAAAAGACAGACTATCACAGAGTTACTGTCACATTCTTTGATATTTTTTACAAGCTGTTTGGTCATAATGGAAAACAGAAAAGATTTTTCGTCTTTAAGACTACTTGCAACTCTCTCCATTCTGACCTTTTTATACTGTCACTGCTTTCTCCCCAACCAGGAGGATAATGTAACTGGAAGGATTTGTACAGAGTTTTAAAAAAACAAAATCAAAATGAAAACCCTCAATAACTAACTGGCTTAAATTAAAATCTAGAGCACCTAAAGGACACAAGTCACGCATTGTGAGGCAGCAGACCACAAAGCCAGAATGAACAAACACTTGTACAACTCTTGGTTTATCACCATTAACTTGCAATGACCATATGGTCATTGAATAGTTTATTTGAAATTCAAACTGCATTTTAGTTCTATTTTCTAACTCAGTATTTTAAAAAAATGTACTTTGTTCTAATTAAAAGTTGAAATCATAGTGCCTTTTTCAATCCTGTTTCATTTAATAGAAATTTCCCTCTGGGTGAAAAATAGTGCAAAGTTTTCTTTTAAAAATGCAAGGCTTTCAAAAATTAAAAAAAATATATATATAAAATACACTAAAAAAATGACCAGGAACCTTTGTGTTTTGAACATTTTTTCCTTTCCCTCAATTATATTAGTCAGGATTTATTCTTGGACCTATTAATACTGAAAAGAAATTCCTGAAACTGGTGAGATAGATTAATTTACAATTTAGCACATATGGTATCATTAAGCTTTCACATTAATAAAAGACAAATACTAGCATTATAAAATAAAACTACAAAATAGTTTCACAATTATATTTTTATCTTGATGCAATCAAACTAACTTTCCAATCATGCAACAAGAAAAAATGTACATACTTAAGTGTCATTGTGGATTGAATAGCTGTAGATAAGGGCACCTTGTCCTTCACCTGAAACTACCCCCTCCATCACAGGTGTTGCACAAGTTGAAGCAGAAAAGTCACAGAACTAGGCCCAGAGAGGTCCCACATCCTTTATCTAAGTTGTACAGAATAAAACAGCCTATGTGTACCTGTCTACTCACAGAGAAGCAAGTGACATAAGTAGCAACTGCATTTATTTGTTCCTGGCAAACTAGCATTTAAAAATATTATTTTAAATTAACTTAAAGGGAAAAAAAGGAAAAAGGAGAAGAAACCAAATTCTTGACAAGAAATACATAAGAATATCTGTCTTTGCAAAAATATTTCTGGAACATTTTTAAAATGACATTTAGAAAATGGTATAAAAAAGATTTACTGTTTTAAGTCCTTGAAGCTTAAGATATATTTGATAATCTACATAGCAGGCCACGGAGAACAGTTTCAGCCAACTGTGGCACACAATGGCACATTTACAGAATTTTAAATATTTCTTTTAATAATTGATGTAGTCATTTTGAATCATTCTGCATAGGATATCAGGTGTGAGCAGATTGCATTAACGCTGCTTAAACATTTCAACTTGTCAGTATGGCCAACTCGATTTCGGAAATATTTGCAGTATTTTCCCATCGAAACAGTAATAAAGGCAAAATAAATATATGCCACTACTTTATAATCACCGAACATTAATGAATATTTTATGTCTTTTTAAATCTCCCTGTTTAATTTAAAAGGGTGAAATTAAGTCTCCTCCCTGCAATATGCCAATTATCTGTAAATCAAACAATAACTTGGCCATTATGCTCCTTTTTGTTAATATAAGAGAAGCTAATTTGAAAACACTGAATAGCATTTTTAGGCTATCTGCTGAATAGTCCTTTCTGCCCTCTTGTGGGAGAAAGCTGAAACACACTCAAATAACAGAAACTAGGGGTGGGGGTTGAGAGGGTGGCAGCAAAATTATGGCTAGAAAATTCAACCCCGAAGGAAAAAAAGGCAAACTATATTTATTCATCATACATTATACTATTCTTCAATTATCAAGTCAGCAATAAAATGAATTTACCTCTTATCTTTGTCATGTTGGTTAAACTGAAGTTATTTTAAATCTAAATTTCCTTGTTTCATATATTCACATATACAATTTAGATTTTACTATCCTGTAAAATTTCAGATGCTATAATAACTCGGAGATGGAGCCACGGCAAAACATTATTTCTACCATAAAAACACAAATGATTCTTCAAGGAATTAAGTTTTTTAATTTAGAGAATAAAATACTCATTATGGAGGTTGAAAATGAAATTACAATTTATACATATTTAAAATCCTGAAAAAAAATTAAATAACGCAAACCTACAATTCAGTTTAGGAATCAGATCAGAAAAAAATTTTAAAGAGTTTAGTTTCTAGAGTCAACAAACTATTCAAGTAATCAATGAAGAAAATAAAGCAATGAGTTATTCATGTCAAATTCAGAAGCTGAAATTCATTAACACAATATAAAAAAGGAAACCATTAATAGTCTACAGAAACAGTTCATATATTTCTGAAAGAAAACACTAGGGTGAAAACTGGTTCTTTCAAAATGACATTAAGTGATTATTTTAAGAAATGTAGTCTAAGAAAAACATTATAAAATAATCCAAGATTAAGCATGATTAATTCTCTTTAGAAAAATTAGTAGACAAATGACTGTTGCTTTCATAACTTATAAGGTGTAATGCAACATAGTCATCATTTCAATGTTTCTAAACATAAGTCCTGTCATAGCCTTAAATGTTCCCCCCACCCTCCATGAAGATAGAATTACTAGCTTTTAGGTGGCTGGGGCCCAAGGCATACCAACAAGGTACCTCTTCTCTCTTGGGGGAGGTTCTCTTTTGAAACAGTGGCCCTGGTTGGTCGTGTTGAAGAAAATACTGACACTATAAATAGACTCTTCTCATATTCTAAGCTAAAAGATAGTCTCCAACAGCATCTTAGGCATACTGCCCAAGGGCAGGATGGAGCTGCTTAAGAAAAGTCCCCTCAAATTCCTTTTAGAAACAGGCAGAGTACACAATATAAATAATTATTTGAGAGCAACCTTTCAAATAAAATATAAGCATCCTCCAAAATGAATGTTGTCAACAATTTCCATAGTATTTTGAATAATGACTATAAAACCATGAAATATATTACATAATAATCAGTTATTTTTAAGCAGCGTTTCAAGTTGACTAGTTTAAAAATTATCAAGAGTTCCCATTTACATCTTTCTAGGTCAAGTCATTTAGTATATCTACAGTAATCATTGATGCTCCAGTTAATTAAAATTTAAGAACCCAATAATGAAACATAAAGAGAATTTCCAACCAGAACAGATAAGCCCTCTTTAACAGGGTCAACATTAGCTATAATGAGCTACCTTTATTTCTTAGCTGTGAGACATAACTCACCTCTTGAATAGTACTGCTTCCTGAGAAGTTCAGGTTGTACTCCCGCTGGACTTCTCGGTGGGTGATGATCAGCATGAAGTTTTGATTTAATGACTCCTGCAGGGCACTGAAAGGGTTGAAAGAAAAACAAGGAACTCAGAGATGAACAAGTTCTAGCTTGCTTTACAGCTAGCTGCAAAAACCCCAGGAGTACCCTAACCTCCACACAGGCATGTCTGGGCCCAATGTTATCATATTTTCAGCTCCTAAAGGCAAGAGAACACACTGAGAACAACCAAGGGGAGCTAACCTGTTAACTCTTTCTCTACCAAGGTGTTTTTAAATTTCAAGTCTAAATGCTTTGTATACTTAAGAATTTTCTACAAGTCATAGGCTAATTCATAATATCTGCATACGTATCTCCTCCAACAAAGCTGTCAATTATATCAACTCCAAATATGCTACTAAAATGTATATTCAAAGACTCTGGTTCAATTCCAAGTGAAACAGCTGTTCTAGAATAACAGAAGTATGAAACTATTATTTATATTCATGAATCTGATTTCAGTCAAAATTCAGAAGATATTGAAATCTACAGAACTTCAATTGTTATGTAAAAATTCATTCAAAATAATTGTGCTTTCACTTAGGACTCAGTAATACACAGAATTTAGAAACTGGAGAAATCATAGCAACATTTTGTAAAGCCTATAACAAAGTTCCAAAATTTAGAAATTTATCAGAACCATGAAGAGTATTTGAAATTAGTGAAAAAATCAAGAAATGTAAGTCATGGTTCTATTTTTATCTCCTCCTGGAACTGTCAATTATATCAAATTCCAAATATGCTACTAAAATGTATACTCAAAGACTCTGGTTCAATTACAAGTGAAATACAGAAGTATTAAACTAATATTAAATGAGTATTAAACTAATATTAGAAATATTATTTTCATCAGTATTGAAAATAAAGACCTATCATCAGTATGCCTGAATAATTTCTACTGTCTGTCTCAAGTGTAATTTTGCCATGCCTATGGTACCAGGAAAATATTTTGGGTGTGCTCCATGGTTTTAACCTTCAACTTTCCTCCTTTGCCCATCTGTAACTATGTGACAAATACACACACAACATAAAGATCAGAATTAGACAGATAGGACGGGCACGGTGGCTCACGCCTGTAATCCCAGCACTTTGGCAGGCCGAGGCCAGTGGATCACGAGGTCAGGAGATCAAGACCATCCTGGCTAACACGGTAAAACCCCGTCTCTACTAAAAATGCAAAACATTAGCCAGGTGTGGTGGCGGGCACCTGTAGTCCCAGCTACTTGGGAGGCTGAGGCAGAGGAATGGCATGAACCTGGGAGGTGGAGGTTGCAGTGAGCTGAGATTGTGCCACTGCACTCCAGCCTGGGTGACACAGCGAGACTCTGTGTCAAAAAAAAAAAAAAAAAAGAATTAGGCAGATAATCTGTCTGCCCTATTGTCTTCCATAGCGTTCACAGGTTAATTGTAGACTATACTTAGCGAGCACCAATATATGTAACATGAAATATTAGTAACCAAAATAAAAGAAAATCACACCCAACTAAAATAGAATTTCTTGAAGCAAGGACCTTTGTCATTATATCCATAAAAATTAAGCATAATGGGCTGGGTGCACTGGTGCACACCTGCAATCCCAGCACTTTGGGAGGCCAAGGCGGGTGGATTGCCTGGACTCAGGAGTTCGAGACCACCCCGGGTAACATGGTGAAACCTCGTCTCTATTAAAATACAAAAAAAAATTAGCTGGGCGTCGTGCTGGGCTCCCAGCTACTCGGGAGGCTGAGGCAGGAGAATCACTTGAACCCAGAAGGTGGAGGTTGCAGTGAGCTGAGATGGCACCACTGCACTCCAGCCTGGGCGATAGAGGGAGACGCTGTCCCAAAAAAAAGAAAGAAAAAAGAAAAGAAAAAAGAAAAAAAGGAAAAGAAAGAAAAGAAATTAAGCATAATGTGTGGCACACTACAGATATTTATTGCATAATGAATGGTGAATTTCTAGAAGGCAAGAGTCATTCATCTTTGTATCTCACACAGAAATGTTGCCTTCTGGAAACTACCATAGGAGTTAAGACTTTGATTTTATTCATTTATGTATCAACATTAACTTGATGACTTGCACTGTTCCAGGTGCTAAGGAGCTGCGTGCGCCACCACGCCCAGTTAATTTTTGTATTTTTAGTAGAGATGAGGTTTCACTATGTTGGTCACACTGGTCTTGAACTCCTGACCTCGTGATCCACCCACCTCAGCCTCACAAAGTGCTGGGGTTACAGGTGTGAGCCACAGCGCCCGGCCCGCCCCTGGAACATTTTATAAAGAGAACTAGTAAGATATGACTTACATTTACATTTATACAAGATTATTCTGGCTGCTCTGGCCACAGTGAGCAAAGACTGGGGGTAGGGAGAGCAGACAGGAGGCTGGTTCAGGAAAGAAGTGACAGTAGCTTGGACTAAGGTGGTAGAGGCACAGATGAAAAACTGTCAAGTTCAGAATATATTTTAGAGGTGGAAGTCAGACCACTTACTGATGGAGTGTGAGAGAAAAACATAACCCCAAGGTTTCTGGCCTAAGTAAATAAGAGAATGGAATTATATTTAACAAGAAAAAGTGGAGTAGTGGCAGGTGAGGTGGAGAAATTGAGAGTGAAGTTTTCGTTCAAAGTTTGAGATGTCCATTGAGATGTTTTGAGATGTCTATTAGACAGTCAAAAAAAAAAAATGTCATGTAGAGTTGAATATAAGACTCAAAGGTCAAGTAAGAGAGCCCAGAGCAGGAGAGTCAGTACCATATAGTCAGTTTTTAGGCTTCGAGGCCAAAACAAATCACCTAGAAAAATAAGTGACACAGACAAAAGAGAGGCCAAGATGGAACCCTAGGGCATTTCAGTCATTTGAAATCAAGCAGAGGAGAATGAGTCAGTTTAAAGGAGATTGATAAATCATCAGTGAGAGAAGAGAAAAATCAAGAAAGTCTAGTATAAGGGAGCCAAAAGAAATAACTGTTTCAAATAGGAGGGTGGGATCAGTTACGCCAAATGCTACTGAGGCATTAAAGGTGGGAAGGGCAGAAAAATGACCACATTCAGGAAGCAGCCAAAAGCTCAATGTGACTGCAGTGAAGGCTGCGTGAGAGAAGTCTACTGGGAAATGAGGCTCAAACAATAGATGGGGTCAATGATCAATATATGTATGTTGAATGAATTTGAGGACAGAAATGGCGAGTAATGGAAAGACTTCCTGAGGTTTGAAGGCCTTTCAAAGGTAGATCTATTGTACAACTATTCTCCAAAATGTGGCTTTTTCTCTAGAGCTTGTCTGACATCCCCTCATGTCAAAAACAAGCTCACTACAATCTTTGTTCATATTGTTCTCATCCTCCTTTCCTTTGCTCCCTTCCAAATACTGCACAGCTTTCAGATCACCTTTCAGGCCTCTACTTGGGTTTAGTAATGACCTTCTCTTCTCCTCTGAATTCCTATATCACATACTTTATTGTCTTGTACAGTTTGCTTTGTTTCATGTGTGGATACCCTGAATTCTAGACTATATATGTTTTTATAATAACTGATTACTTATCAGTATATCCCTTGGAAAGTAGCACACTAGAAGGTGATTCAATTCAACTGTATAAAGATTCAAGAAATACTTCTGCATATTCTGAACTGCATACAAAGAACTACTGATTATCATTTTTTTAGCCTGAGGTTTCATTTTACTCACAAAATTATACTTCTGAAAGGTTAATTGCCCCTGGTCATCAAGCTACAAAGAGGTGGAACTAATTGTCCCTGGTCATCAAGCTACAAAGAGGTAGAATCCAGCCCCTAACCTATATTTGATTCTATGTTCTTCAAACCTGAGCATCCTATCTCCCAAAAGGCTAGGCTGCTTGGGCGATACAAGGTGAACAAGACTCCTGCCTGCTAGAAGTTTACCGCTCATTCATTCACTCTATAATTATTTGATTCCTATTATCTGTAATAATACAGGAATAAAAGATAGAAATCACTGACCTCAGAGAGGTTCGAAAAGATGTTAAGATTGTGGAGAAGGGAGAATACTTTAAAGTACTATGAAGAAAAATGGACAATAATTTGATAAGTAGATATGGAGGATGATTTCAGACATAGAACAGTTCAGAAACGACGATGGGGGAATATTAAGAAACGTGTTAGAAAGCAATGAGGAAGAAGTGTAAGGTGATGTGAAGAAAGGTTTCTGACAGAGAAAACCTTAACAATGTTAAAGACCTCCATTATGGAGGGCTTCAAATGCTAGGCTGAGGAGCTCGGAGTTCCAGAAGTCTTGATTGTTATATAGATCTTCCTTTACCTTTACATATGAATCTATGCATATGTTTAATATTTTTAGTGCTTGCCTTTATGCAATTCCTTAGATATGTCTCTTGATCTTGACTGGCAGACTTGTGTAATAACTTTGCAAACAGGTTTGCCAGGACCAGTTTGACTGCCAGACTGCTTTAGAACACCAATTTTGTCTAGTTCTACAATTCCTGGATAGCTGTGGAAGAGGGTAATTTGGCAAGCATAATATTTATGGCTTTAAACTGCTTTGGAGTCATAAAGCCAGATCTGAATCCGTTTCACTACTTGCTAGTTCTTTGACCTCGACAAGTCATTCATTCTTTTTTTCCCCATTCATTCTTTCAACCATATTTATTGAGTGTCTAACATGTAAAAGACCCTATTTTAGGCACTTAACCACTCTGCAAATTCTTAGAAGAGGAAGATAATCCTTCACTCATAGAACTATGAATATTACATTTAAAAACCCTTTTTTTTTTTCGAGACAGAGTCTCGCTCTGTCACCCAGGCTGGAGTGCAGTGGTGCGACCTCGGCTCACTGAAACCTCTGCCTCCCGGGTTCAAGCGATTCTCCTGCCCCAGCCTCCTGAGTAGCTAGGACTACAGGTGTGTGCCACCACGCCCGGCTAATTTTTTGTATTTTTAGTAGAGACGGGGTTTCACCATGTTAGCCAGGATGGTCTCAATTTCCTGAC
This sequence comes from Homo sapiens, assembly GCF_000001405.40. Classification (NCBI taxonomy): domain Eukaryota; kingdom Metazoa; phylum Chordata; class Mammalia; order Primates; family Hominidae; genus Homo; species Homo sapiens. The sequence continues at coordinate 50,710,835 of NC_000001.11, forward strand.
CTCGTGATCCGCCCATCTCAGCCTCCCAAAGTGCTGGGATTATAGGCATGAGCCACCGAGCCCGGCCAAGTGGCATTTGTTTTTTTTTTTTTTGAGATGGAGTCTTGCACTGTCACCCAGGCTGGAGTGCAGTGGCGCAATCTCGGCTCATTGCGACCTCAACCTCCCAGGTTCAAGCAGTTCTCCTGCGTGAGCCTCCTGAGTAGCTGGGATTACAAACACACACCACCACATCCAGTTAATTTTGGTATTTTTAGTAGAGACGGGGTTTCACCATTGTGGTCAGGCTGGTCTCAAACTCCTGACCTCGTGATCTGCCTGCCTCAGCCTCCCAAAGTGCTGCGATTACAGGCATGAGCCACCGCACCCAGCCAAGTGGGAATTTTTATTGCACATAAGTTATAAGGTGAGCTATTACAACTTACTGAAAACAGAACACTTTTGAAGGGTACTCATACTTTAAAATCTTACAGTGATAGTGAAACATCAGCAAAAGGATCTACAGTGCTTTTGTAGTAGTTACTTTTCATGTTTTAGTTCTATCCCCTGGCAGGAGTTCATACAGAATAAAACCTTGTTTTGATCACCAAACATAACTGTATATTGTGCCTAATGTTATCCACACTGACTTTTTTTTTTTTTTTTTTTTTTTTGAGATGGAGTCTCACTCTGTCTCCCAGGCTGGAGTGCAATGGCATGATCTTGGCTCACTGCAACCTCCACCTCCCAGGTTCAAGCGATTCTCCTGCCTCGGCCTCCCGAGTAGCTGCTACAGGCGCATACCACCATGCCCGGCTAATTTTTGTATTTTTAGTAGAGACAAGGTTTTACTATATTGGTCAGGCTGGTCTTGAACTCCTGACCTCGTGATCTGCCCGCCTCAGCCTCCCAAAGTGCTGGGATTATAGGCATAAGCCACCACACCCGGCCTGTTCTTTTTTACAGAGGTCTTGTTTGGGGTTGATTCTACCACATTCGTGCTCCTTATGAGTAGAGTTTGTTTGGAGAAGTCAGATAAGGGTATTATCTTTAAACTTAGACTCTAGCCTGCTCCATTCACTTAGCCATTAATAATAATGACTAACACTTAACAAGCGCTACCACATACCAGGCATTAAGAGATTCATATCATTATGAAGTTATTATCATTATTTCCATTTTACAGATGAGGAAACTGATGTTACTTACTTAATTACTATCATACAAAAAAGGTAGCAATGACCTAGGTCTAACTTCAGAGATAACACTCTTATGATTGGACCTTCAGGTACTAAGGAAGTGAACACAGTAAGATCACATTTCTGCCCTTATTGAGTCTACTGAGGGATGGGCAAAGAAGCAAACTTGCAATTCACATATAGTACCCCTGTGCTTCTGTAATACTGATTTTCCTAAGGTGCTATGGAAACACAGAATAACAACTAAATTAGACCAGTGATGCTTTCCACAGAAACTGGCATGTGAACTGCTTAAGTTTTGTTTTGTGATGACTCTGAGGAGAGGGGTTAGTGGGGAAGGCTGTAAGAAATACGCTATGTTTGCTGGGCTTGGTAGCTCACACCTGTAATCCTAACACTTTGGGAGGCAGAGGTGGGTGTATCCCTTGAGGCCAGGAATTTGAGACCAGCCTGGCCAACATGGTGAAACCCTGTTACTACTAAAAATACAAAAATGAGCCAGGCGTGGTGGCACACGCCTCTAATCCCAGCTACTCGGGAGGCTGAGGTATGAGAATTGCTTGAATCTGGGAGGCAGAGGTTGCAGTGAGCCGAAATCGCACCACTGCACTCCAGCCTGGGCAGCAGAGAGAGACTCTGTTGTAAAAGAAAAAAAAATGCCATGGTAATCTGTGTAATTTGCAAAGACATTTTTGCTAAAATGTTATCTAGGCAAACTGATCCTAGCTTCTAAAGCTAACTATGTGTTGAGTCCTCAGCTGCAGCATCCAGGAGCAATTTTCTCTCACACAGTACCCCCTAATTTATGTTGGTTATGATAGTTAGCCATGGTTAAGCCACCTTGGAGCAGTCTTTTACCTTCAAGTTGGGGGGGCGCTGTGGCTCACACCTGTAATCTGAACACTTTGGGAGGCCAAGGTGGGTGGGTCACTTGAACCCAGGAGTTCTAGACTAGCCTGGGCAACAAGGTAAAACCCAGACTCTACAAAAAATACAAAAATTAGCCCAGCATGGTGGCACGCGCCTGTAGTCCCAGCTACAGGAGGCTGAGGTGGGAGGACCTCTTGAGGATAGAAGGGGGAGGTTGTAGTGAGCTGAGATCACACCACTACACTCCAGCCTGAGTGACAGAGCCAGACCCTCAAAAAAAAAAAAAAAAAAAAAAAGTTCACGCTGCTTCAACTTTTGATCTTCAGGGTCAAAAGGATGAGTGTTAACCAAAGAAATAATGAAACAGTTAAAAAAAAAAAAGGCATGTTTTCTTTTTCTTTTGTTTTGAGACACAGTCTCTCACTCTGTCACCCAGGCTGGAGTGCAGTGGCACGATCTAGGTTCACTGCAACCTCCGCCTCCCAGGATCAAGCGATTCTCCTGCCTCAGCCTCCCTAGTAGCTGGGACCACAGGCATGTGCCACCACACCTGGCTAATTTTTGTATTTTTAGTAGAGACGGTGTTTCACTATGTTGGCCAGGCTGGTCTCGAACTCCTGATCTCAGGTGATCTGCCCGCCTTGGCCTCCCACAGTGCTGGGATTATAGGCATGAGCCATCGCGTCCGGCCAAAAAACTACGTTTTCTTTTCAATTAGAGACAGAAAAAAAGATATAAGCAAACGTAGAACCTTTTAAAAAAAAACAAAGACAAGGTTTTGCTATGTTGACCATGCTAGTCTCCTCCTGGCTTCAAGTGATCCTCCTGCTGCAGCCTCCTGAGTAGTTGAGATTACAACCGTAAGTCACTGCGCCTGGCAAATGTAAAAGCTTTTTTTTTTTTTTTTTTGAGATGGAGTCTTGCTCTGTCACCCAGGCTAGAATGCAGTGGCATGATCTCGGTTCACTGTAACCTCTGCCTTCTGGGTTCAAGCAATCCTCCCGGCTCAGCCTCCCACGTAGCTGGGTTTACAGGCACCCACCATGCCCAGCTAATTTTTTTGTATTTTTAGTTGAGACGGGGTTTCACCATCTTGGCCAGGCTGGTCTGGAACTCCTGACCTCGTGATCCACCCGCCTCTGCCTCCCAAAGTGCTGGGATTACAGGCATGAGCCACCGCACCTGGCCTGATATACAAACTTTTTAAAAGCAGTTTGAATTTTAACTCAATGCAAGAAATGGTTTTGACAGACCATATATTCATTCTCTCTTCACTGGTATAAATATTTTTTTTCTTCATTATGATTTTTTTTCAATAGAAATATTTGCATTATCTTCGCCTGGGTGTCGTGGCTCACGCCTGTAATCCTAGCACTTTGGGAGGCTGAGGCGGGTGGATTACTTGAGGTCAGACGTTCAAAACCAGCCTGGCCAACATAGTGAAATCGTGTCTCTACTAAAAATTAAAAAAAAAAAAAAAATTAGCTAGGTGTGGTGGCGGCCGCCTGTAATCCCAGCTACGCAGGAGGCTGAGGCAGGAGAATCTCTTGAACCTGGAAGGCAGAGATTGCAGTAAGCCAAGACTGCCACTGCACTCCAGCCTGGGCAGCAAGGTGAGACTTTGTCTCAAAAACAAACAAACAAAAAACCAAAACAAACAAACAAAAAAACCTCCACATCTTCATGAACCCTCAGACGCTGGAGCTGGGTATCAGTTTTTTAGCCAGCTTTTGTGGGAACTGCCTTTGACAGACCTATTAAAGAAGGAAAGGGGGTATGGAGTCCCAGCCACTCAAGAGACTGGATATCCCCCAAGAATGGCTTGGGTTAACAGCTATGGACCCTTGGAAGATGAATCAAATCCTTCTCCTCACTGGTTTTTCTTTGCAAATTCATTTGCTTTTATTTTTCTAATAACTCTAAGCTCTGTCTATTTTCCATGTTCTCAGAGCCCCTGGGCAGACAGACACAGCTTGATTTCAGAGCAGACGTAGGCCAAGAAACCATAGCATTGAGTGTCCTGAGTCCAGACAAATGATATTTATATACACATCCAAATTTGAAGAGAAAATGTATTTCTTTAGGTTTCAAACACTGTAACAGATATAAAGTAAAAAAAAACCTGTTGCAAAGTTCTAAAAATATATATCTATTTGCATTATCAACAAGGACACAATTTGGTTTCTACAAACAGAAAAAGACTATTAAAACTAACAGTTCTTCATCTACCCTCAGATATAGACTGAAGTTAATGTTCAAAATATAATCAGAATCACAGACTTTGTCCCTGGGGCTCCAGTGTTATTTGCAACAAAATAAAATGAAAGTTAACATTATTAAGCACTGAGTATGCAAAATGCTAGACATTTTCAAACATATCACCTTATAATTTTTCTATACTGTTTCTTAATTTTAAAATTGAAGGTGGCGGGGTGGGAGCCAGGCACAGTGCTGTGTGCCTGTAATCCCAGCTACTTAGGAGGCGGAGACAGGAGAACTGCTTGAGCTCAGGAGTTTAAGACCAGCCTGGGCAACACAGAAAGGTCCTGTCTCAAAATAAACAAACAGATAAATAAATAAATAAATCTGGCATGTAACAGAAGATACTATTAAAATATAGATAGATAACCACTTTAAAATTCTCAGTACTATTACTAAGCATTAATACCTATGCCATTAACAGTTCTAGAAATCTTTTTAGTAAAACTTCTTTTCTCTACTCTCTTCTTTGTCCACAAGTCTTAGGCTTCCAATGCTCTTTCATTAGCAGAATGTCCATCTAGCTATGCCTGGGGAGATCCCATTCCAATTTAACTATGAATATTTATCAGGAACAGAGAGGTTACCTGTAAAATACCAGCCTTCTAATGAGTACCAATGTAATTTTAAGTCACCGGCTTAGTTTATACATTTTACATACCCCTCCACATTTTTTAAAAAGGGGAAAATTAGGTATAGCAAATTTTAAAACATAGGCCCTAATAAATTTGAAGCTCTAGCACAGGTATTTTTATATATATGAACATACAAAGCCATATATTATTAGCTTACATATATCAAGTATTGATAAAATCATCAACAACACAAAGAAAATAAATGTAACACTCTTTATTGTCTTGACTGAGTTTATGTCTCATTCAGAGAGTACTTCTGCAACCCACTTGTAAGAAAGCACAGGGTTATTTTAATACACAAAGTAATTTTTCAAGGTGAACTTAAGGTTGAATTATGTTAGTAAAACAATCCACTTTATTAATTCCTGATGAAGAAGAGGAATGACTTCCCTCCTGCCAACTAGCAGCAGGCCCATTTCACAGGGTACAATAGTAGTAGGCAAACTGTCTTGAACCAATAATAATCACAGTAATTTAAGGATTTCCTCTCTAGGAATTCCTTGAATCCAGAACTCCCTCTTAAAGTCTTCAGTAGACAGAAGAATTAGCTAAACTAACCCATAGCCCACCTATTAATACATTAATAGTACTAGGGGAAGCACTCACTATTATAAAGTATACATCAAAATTAAACAACTAGACTAGGAAAGATTAATTCATACTGAGAGGTGAAGCCAGCTGGACTTCCTGGGTCGAGTGGGGACTTGGAGAACTTTTCTGTCTAGCTAGAGGATTGTAAAATGCACCAATCAGCACTCTGTGTCTAGCTAGACAATTGTAAATACACCAATCAGCTCTCTGTAAAACCACACCAATCAGAGCTCTGTGTCTAGCTAAAGGATTGTAAATGCACCAATCAGCACTCTGTAAAAACGCACCAATCAGTGCTCTGGGTCTAGCTAAAGGATTGTAAATACACCAGTCAGCACTCCGTAAAAACACGCCAATCAGTGCTGTGTGCGTAGCTAAAGGACTGTAAATGCACCAATCGGCACTCTGTAAAATGGACCAACCAGCAGGATGTGGGCAGAGACAAATAAGGGACTAAAAGCTGGCCACCCCAGCCAGCAGTGGCGACCCACTCGGGTCCCCTTCCACGCTGTGGAAGCTTTGCTCTTTTGCTCTTCACAATAAATCTTGTTGCTGCTCACTCTTTGGGTCTGCACCACCTTTAAGAGCTGTAACACTTGCTGCAAAGGTCCGTGGCTTCATTCTTGAAGTCAGCGAGACCACCAACCCACCAGAAGGAAGAAATTCCGTACACATCTGAAGGAACAAACTCTGGACACACCATCTTTAAGAGCCGTAACACTCACCGCGAAGGTCCGCGGCTTCATTCTTGGAGTCAGCGAGAACAAGAACCCACTGGAAGGAACCAATTCCGGACACAATACCTGGGCTTCAGGGCTGCTATGAACTGAATGTTTGTATACTTTCCAAAATTCATACATTGAAGCCCTAACCCCCAATGTGATGATTATTTGGATATGGGGTCTTTGGGAGGTAATCAGGTTTAGGTGAGGTCATGAGAGTGGGGCCTTGATGATGCAATTAGTGTTCTTATAAGAAGAGAAAGACAGATAAGAGCTTTCTCTCTCTTTCTGCCTTGGGAGGACACAATGAGAAGGTGACAAAGCCAGGATGAGGGACTGATTTTGTCAGCACCATGGTCTTGGACTTTTGACATTCACAAATAAAGGGCTATTGTTTAAGCTACCCAATAAATGGTATTTTGTTATGGCAGCCCAAGGGGACTAATATAAAGGCTTTTAGGGCCTCTGTATTCATAGTACTCAAGTAAACAGCTGTCATGAGTTCAGCACAGGCTTCTAATGTACAAATCCAAATTGAAATCTCACTCACTAAAATCCCTTTTCATAGGGTATCACAGAAAGCAATATACTTTTGTCAAAACTCGTATAACTCAGAGACACTTAAGACCTGGCTGGGAATGGTGGCTCATGCCTGTAATCCCAGCACTTTGTGAGGCTGAGGTGGGAGGATGACTTGAGGCCAGGAGTTCAAAACCAGCCTGCGCAACATAGCAAGACCTCATGTCTGTAAAACAATTTTTAAAACAATTGTATGTTTATTGTATATGAATTATAACTCCATAAAAACATTAACCATAAAAAAATGCCTGAATAATCGAATAGTGACCATTTTTACAGTTACATGGGCCCTATATTTTTAACTTCAAAAATACAATCCTTTATTTATTTATTTATTTATTTATTTATTTATTTATTTATTTATTTATTGAGACGGAGTCTCGCTTTGTCACCCAGGCTGGAGTGCAATGGTGTGGTCTCGACTCACTGCAACCTCCGCCTCCCGAGTTCAAGCGATTCTCCTGCTTCAGCCTCCCAAGTAGCTGGGATTACAGGCACCCGAGTAGCTGGGATTACCACGCTCAGCTAATTTTTGTATTTTTAGTAGAGACAGAGTTTCACCATGTTGACCAGGCTGGACTCAACTCCTGACCTTGTGATCCGCCTGCCTCAGCCTCCCAAAGTGTTGGGATTACAGGCATGAGGCACCGTGCCCGGCCACAATCCACTTTTAATCAGTGTAAATGGGAACCATGGACTTGCTGCATCAAGTAGAGCAAATAACATTATATGTCCACTGACAAATATGAGCTCTCAGCAGTGAAATTATACTTCTCAAATCAGTGCTATGTGTGCAGTTAAGACGAATATAAAGTACTAACATCAATACAGTGATTGAAATCTCATTTCATTCCTGTTATGTGCATATGTTATTTCTTTTCTTGCACTGTATATTTTAAACAAAAATAACAATTTAAAATTGGCTTATAAGGTTCATCTTCACTAGATTTTATTTTCTAAATATGGCCTGATAGTGAAGCAAGAACAAAGACTTTATTTGAGATTACTGTGATTTTTTTAATTATAAAAATGTAATAATTTTAAAATGTGGTATTGAATTTTTCATTAATACTTTACCATTTATATCTTTCCAAATGCCCTAACATTTTTTCTCTCTTTTGTCTCTTTAGGAATACTTTGTGATCTACAATATTATTTTTATCTCTTTAGCTACATCAAGATTTTAAATTAAAAAGCGTGACACATGGCAATTTAAATTTCCATTCTAAACTTACAGAGTCATATGAGTTCTTGTCAACAAAAGACCAAATTTACCATAATTATGGGTTATTTACACTAAAACAAAATAAGAAATCAATATGTAAATGTAATGTTTGTTGTAGCTAATGCAGCTAGCAATGACAGATTAGGTTCAAATAGCAATCAGTTTGAAAATCTGGCACATATGTAAATGAGCTAGGGCCTTGATGTTTACATTAGATTGTATTTCATTCAGGATTTTTAAATTGTCTCAGGAACAGCATAAAAATAAAATGTTAATCTTTCCACTATAAATATGATTTGAGCTCTCATCACAACTGAAACTAGGTTTTGCTCCTGTCCAGCTAAACTAACATATACTAATAATTCTGAGCTGCAGATTACATCATTCTTAATTAACACCCTGCTACAGTTGTTAACATCCTCCAAGACACCATGTTATCATCACCACAAGTTCTGTAACAATCTTAAAACCATGTTTAACGAAGGTTGGCCTCTTACTCTACAGCTACTTTTAATTGCTTTCTTTGCTGGCAATTAAACATGTCTAGATAAATAAACATTTGGTTTCACATAATTTCTAATAACATTTTTCATGATGATTTCAAAGTTCAGGTGGCCTCAGGTCTATAATTACTGTTTAATCAATATAGTGATATATTGGATACATCAAAATGTATTAACCAAAGTATGTAAAATTAATCAAAATGTGGTAATTAGTGATGATAGTGATATATTGTGATGCATCAAGTAGTACATGGCAAAACTGTCAAAACACAATTCTAACCATCTAGACAAAATTTGAAAAAAGCAAAGAAATATTTATAGACATATCAATTTTTGTTTCCTAGAGTAGTGACCAAGTTTCTGACTATCCATTAAATCAACCGTAGAGAATACCCGCAGTTCTTTTTCAAAATGTGATGCTAACAAGCTAATCTCAGTAGTCACTGAACTATCAATAGGCAATAAACTGTATAAATGGGTTTGGTACCTCACTCCAATTAGATGTGTTGTGATTTCCATCAGTGCTTTAATTGAGGACAAGTTTCTTCTTTCATCCAGAGTGCATAACTTTTGGGAAATGTCCTCTTCTTAAAATTAAACACACTTTTTTTTTTTTTTTCTTTGAGAAGGAGTCTTGTTCTGCCACCTAGGCTGGAGTGCAGTGGTGCAATCTTGACTCACTGCAATCTCCACCTCCTGAGTTGAAGCAATTGTCTTACCTCAGCCTCCCAAGTAGTTGGGATTACAGGCATGCACCACCACACCCAGCTAATTTTTGTATTTTTAGTAGAGACGGGGGTTTGCCATGTTGGCCAGGCTAGTCTCAAACTCCTGACAGGTGATCCGCGTGCCTTGGCCTCCCAAAAAATGAGCCACTTTTAAGTGGCCCCTTATTAAAAAACATTTACCAGCCCAGTACTTTCAAATTTCACTTTTAAAAATCTAACAATGATGCTCACTACAATTAAATTTAAGTTGAACAGTAATCACAATGTACTTGAAATACTGATTATATCAATTTATTCTTGAGAAATGAAATTACTTTAAGAATAATATATCAAATCATGCATTGTTCTAATTACAATACTGATAACTTAAAATACTTTTACGGATAAATATTGACGGAGTTCAGGAAATGCCAACCCCACAATATGACACTTTGGTATGCTGCTTACTTTGAACTGAGGGCACTTGGGGAACAGCTGACACAAACACAGGCTTTCTATGAGCTCTCCTTATCTGCCTAAAGACAGATCCTCCAAAAGGAACTCAACTGTCCTGAACCCCCACCCTAGGAATCTTATCAACCAGGGAAAATTAACTCATGTTACAGAAAAGGAGACTGAAGGCTGAAACCATACCCAGACAGATGATCACCTCTTCTTCTGAGAGCTACTCTGAGACCATTTTTACTACCTGAGAGACCTTTTATTTGTATAATAAGACAACCTTTATTCACCATACATTTCCTCTCCTTACCCTCTCATAACTTGTATCATACCATCCACCAGAAGCCCCACGCTCCTATTCCTTTCTGTAGCTCAGGATGCCATATAAGTTTCAATCATTTGATCATTCTTCGAGTCTCATATTTTGTGGGGCTTCTATGTGTACATATATAATTAAGTATGTTTTCCTCTTGTTAATCTGTTTTATGTAAATGCAATTTGTACCCAGCCAAGACCCCAGAGGGTGGAGGGAAAACATTTATTGCTTCCCTACAATATCATTCATGAAAATAACAAAAAGTTGTTTCGTAAAGCACTTTGGGAAATTTTTTTTTTTTCTTTTGAGAGGAGTCTCACTCTTATCACCACGCTGGAGATAAGTCTCACCACCAGGCTGGAGATAAGTGAGACGAGTCTCACTCTTATCACCAGCGATCTCTGCTCGCTGCAACCTCCGCCTCCCAGGTTCAAGCAATTCTCCTGCCTCAGCCTCCAGAGTAGCTGGGACTACAGGCACGCACCACTACGCCCAGCTAATTTTTGTATTTTTAGTAGAGACGGGGTTTCACCATATTGGCCAGGATGATCTCGATCTCACGACCTCAGGATCCGCCTGCGTCGGCCTCCCAAAGTGCTGGAATTACAGGTGTGAGCCACCGTGCCCGGCCGGAAAAAAAAATTACAACTGAATCATTCAGACATTTACTTACATATATAAAGTTTTCAAAAAACTTATTTACAGGCCACTTTAAGGTCTCATTTTCTTTTTATTAAATCATTTTTTGTTTGTTGGTTTTGGAGACAGGGTCTCACTCTGTCACCCACGCTGGAGTCAGTGGTACAATCTCAGCTCATAACAACATCAACCTCCTGGCCTCAAGCAATCCTTCCATCTCAGCCTCCCAAGTAGCTAGGACTACAGGCACGTGCCACTATGCCTGGCTGATTTTTTACTTTTTTGTAGAGATGAGGTTCCACTATGTTGCCCAGCCTGGTCTCAAACACCTGGGTTCAAGCAATCCTTCCACCTTAGCCTCCCAAAGTGTTGAGATTACAGTAGGAAGCCACTGTGCCTGGCCAGGTCTCCTTTTCTGCTGCACTGCTAAAACCTCACAAATACTGATCACTAAAAAAGCCAGCATGAAGAAGTCACACTCACAGAAAAATCATTTCAAAAGAAATTGTAGCAAATTATTTGGAGATATTAAAAAGTTAAAAACCTACTGTTTTTTTCTACTTTGAAAACAAAAATACTTAGCCACAGGAGTCCCCCACTGGCAATTGCTCATCTATTCCTGAAAGAGCATCATCGCTTCATCCATTCACTTAAACAACTTACTGAGCATCTACAAGGGCCAAAAAGCACTGTTTCTAGTTTACTTCATAAATGAACTAGATTGAAATGAGACTTTATGTTGAGGACCACATTGATTCTGACCTTTTGAGCAACCTGTGAGTTGGTTAAAAACTCACCTCTAGAATGCTCAAAGACACGAATAACTTGGAATTAAGAGCACTATAAGGCCGGGCGCGGTGGCTCACGCCTGTAATCCCAGCACTTTGGGAGGCCGAGGTGGGTGGATCATGAGGTCAGGAGATTGAGACCAGCCTGGCTAACATGGTGAAACTCGGTCTCTACTAAAAATACAAAAACATTAGCCAGGCGTGGCGGCGGGCGCCTGTAGTCCCGGCTACTCGGGAGGCTGAGGCAGGAGAATGGCATGAACCTGGGCGGCAGAGCTTGCAGTGAGCTGAGATCGCGCCACTGCACTCCAGCCTGGGCGACAGAGAGCGACAGTCTCAAAAAAAAAAAAAAAAAAGCCCTATAAAATCTAAGTCCTGGCTCATCCATTAACTAGCTCTGTGACTTGGCAAAGAGAAGTTACTGAGCACATGCACTGTGCAAGGCCCGCTGCTCATATATGCTATCTTATTTTATCACATACTGACCTCTCTAAAATCCTATAAGGCAGAAATCATCCTGATCATTCTGAGTGAAGAAGCTAAGGCGTAAATCGACCATTTTACTTCCTCTTTCAGTACCTCTCCTAGTCAAAAATAGGACTGAATTGGCTGATTGATTTAGCTCCTTCCAAAGCTGGTATCCTAGAGCTTTCCTCTCAATTCTAAGTCAGAGCTCTCATGGATGTGACTTATGTTGTATTAAGGAAGGACACCAAAGACTGAAATAGTAGGAAATAGACAAGAGAGAAAAATGTAAGGATTAATATTTGTGCAGATTATGAGGTGGTGGAGAAACAGAAACAGGATGAGGGCTGGGTGTGGTGGCTCACGCTTGTAATCCTAGTACTTTGGGAGGCCAAGATGGGTGGACCACCTGAGTTCAGAAGTTTGAGACCAGCCTGGCCAACACGGCAAAATCTCATCTCTACTACAAATACAAAAATGAGCCAGGTGTGGCGGCATGCTCCTGCAGTCCCAGTTACTCAGGAGGCTGATGCAGGAGAATTGCTTGAACCGGGAGGCAGAGGTTGCAGTGAGCGGAGACTGTGCCACTGCACTCCAGCCTGTGCAACAGAGCAAGACTGTCTCCAAAAAAAAAAAAAAAATAAGTAGGATGAGAACTATTTGAAAGCGTCCTCAGCATGTCCTTCTAATAACTAAGTCTCACAACAGTTCTACTATGACGCTTCTCAGTTATCTTTCATGGTTGGGATAACAGGGAGAGAGGAGAGTAGAGTGGCTAGAATGGCCTCAGTACAGGATGACAGAGAGAAATTACCAAAAGAAAAAGCCACACTGTATGAATATCAATACACATTCCGACCAGGTGCAGTGGCTCACACTTATAATCCCAGTGCTTTGGGAGGGTGACATGGGAGAATCACTTGAGGCCAGAAGTTCAAGACCAGCCTGGGCAACACAGCAAAACCCCATCTCTTTTTTTTTCTTTTTTTTCTGAGACTGAGTTTCGCTCAGGTTGCCCAAGCTGGAGTGTAATGTCCTGATCTTGGCTCACTGCAACCTCCGCCTCCCAGGTTCAAGCTATTCTCCTGACTCAGCCTCCTGAGTAGCTGGGATTACAGGCACCTGCCACCACACCTGGCTAATTTTTGTATTTTTAGTAGAGATGGGGTTTCACCATGTTGGGCAGACTGGTCTCGAACTCCTGACCTCAGGTGATCCACCTGCCTTGGCCTCCCAAAGTGCTGGGATTATAGGCGTGAGCCACCACACCCAGCACAAAACCCCATCTCTACAGAAAATTTAAAAATTAGCCAAGCATGATGGCACATGCCTGTAGTTAGTCCCAGCCACTTGGGAGGCTAAGGCAGGAGGACGACTGCTTGAGCCCAGGGTGGTTCAAGGTTACAATGAGCTATGATAATGCCACCACGCTACAGCCTGTGTGACAGAGCAAGACTGTCTTTCAAAAAAAAAAAAAAAAAACAACCATATATATATACATATACACACACACACACACACATACACACACACACACACACACACACACACACACACCCCTGCTCAGTGGATGCATGCACCTCTTTGCTAGGACGAGGGCTAGGAGCACAGGTAGATACCTATTACCACTGCTGCTGGATGGTTATAAGAAGCAGAGATAAAGAGTATTTCAGAATTTTTCGCTTATTGTACCAAACTTAATGGGTATAGTGGAGTGCATAACAAACACAGAGAGTCTGAAAAGGCTTCAGGGAGAAGGTGTAAGTTTCTTTTGCTTTTTCTCAGGCTTCTGCCTCTGTTCACAGGGAAGATAAAATTTCTGCCCATGATGATTCTCCCCACAAGGGTAGAGTTTAAATGAGAAAATATGTAGCTTTCCCACTCCCCCTTCCTCCATTCTAGATTTGTTTCTCTTAGTGGAAAAATAGAGCCAATTAGAATTACTTACAAGGTCATACATACCACGTTAGATTTCACAGAAGCCAGGGACAAGACCAGCAGTTTCCTCTTTCACTTCCTGTGCCCTAGTTCACTAAGTTCTCTACCATTTTTTTTACCCATTGTGGTAGGTGCACTCTGGACAAAGCTTACCATGAGATCTCTAAGCTGTCTTTCCAAATGTGACTAGGTTAGTAAGGCAGGTCTACTGCATCAGTCCATCAGGCTCTGAAGACTCAATCATAACTCCTACAGACCACATGAGCATAAAGGTTCTCAGATTTAGATCTAGAGCAAGATTTAAATTTAGATTTCGATTTAGATCTAGAGCAAGAGGTAAAAGACACCATTTAGGACTCAGGTCTAGGCCACATCCTCTCCATCAGGTGCTTGCCCGGCCATTAAAGCAGTTTTGTTTTCCAATTTGGCTACTGATTTCTATGTGTCTAATCTACTGCTAAGAACCTTAGAAGAAAGGAAGGATGAGTGGCATTATGAACACCTAAAACTCTAGAAGAGCCTCTATTTTTTGGTAGGATCTGAGGCCCCGTGCAGACTTCCCTAAGTCATACAGTGATTCTGAAGCCAAGCTGGACCTAAAACTCAGCTATCTTGACTTACTACTCCTCAATTTCTTCCACAGCACCCACTGGAAAATATAAGAACTCTATTCTCGCTTAATTCATGGCTACTGTAATCTGCTTTCCCACCAATGGTTTTCCAAGGACAAAAACAAAAAGACATTTAAAAAAAATTTTTTTTGAGACAGAGTCTCGCTCTGTTGCCCAGGATGGAGTACAGTGGCATGATCTTGACTCACTGCAACCTCTGCCTCCCAGGTTCAAGCAATTCCCGTGCCTCAGCTATACGAGTAGCTGGGATTACAGGTGTGTGCCACCATGCCCAGCTAATTTTTGTATTTTTAGTAAAGAAGGGGTTTCGCCATGTTGTCCAGGCTGGTCTTGAACTCCTGACCTCAAATGATCCACCCTCCTCCGCCTCCTAAAGTGCTGGGATTATAGGCGTGAGCCACCACACCTGGCCAAAAAGCCATATATTTTAACACCACTAGTTTACTCAACTATCACAGGAGTCCCATTTAGTACCCTGAATTTACTCCTGCTTGAACAAACAGCACTAATTCAAAGCCATAGTTAAATGCAACTTCACAACCCAGAGGCCACAGAAGACAGTGATATGCTTGACTGCAGGACTAGAGCTCAATAATACCCTCATATGAAGCCATTAAAATATTAACTGGGGCCAGGCGCAGTGCCTCATGCCTGTAACCCCAGCACTTTGGGAGGCCAAGGAAGGTGGATCACTAGGTCAAGAGTTCGAGACCAGCCTGGCCAAGATGGTGAAACCCTGTCTCTACTAAAAATACAAAAATAGTTAGCCAGGCACAGTGGTGGGCACCTGTAATCCCAGCTACTCGGGAGGCTGAGGCAGGAGAATCACTTGAACTCAGGAGGCGGAGGTTGCAGAGAGCCGAGATTGTGCCACTATACTCTAGCCTGGGTGACAGAGCAAGACTCAATCTCAAAAAAATAATAATAATAAATAACTGGAACCGTAAGTCCAGCACAAAAAGATAAAAGTTCAATAGCAAGACTCAATACTACTTGTAAAAGGGACAACTACAAACAATGGATACCCTATTTTCTGTCACACCTTGCTGTTATATAAAAATGAAGAAAATAGGCTGGGCACGGTAGCTCACGCCTGTAATCCCAGCACTTTGGGTGGCCGAGGCGGACAGATCACGAGGTCAGGAGATCAAGACCATCCTGGCTAACACGGTGAAACCCCGGCTCTATTAAAAATACAAAAAATGGCTGGGTGTGGCAGCTCACGCCTGTAATCCCAGCACTTTGGGAGGCTGAGGTGGGCGGATCACAAGGTCAGGAGATTGAGACCATCCTGGCTAACACAGTGAAACCCAGTCTCTACTAAAAATACAAAAAATTATCTGGGCGTGGTGGCGGGCACCTGTAGTCCCAGCTACTCTGGAGGCTAAGGCAGGAGAATGGCGTGAATCCGGGAGGCGGAACTTGTAGTGAGCTGAGATCACGCCACTGCACTCCAACCTGGGTGACAGAGCGAGACTCTGTCTCAAAAAAGAAAGAAAGAA
The DNA here is from genome assembly GCF_000001405.40 of Homo sapiens. Lineage (NCBI taxonomy): Eukaryota > Metazoa > Chordata > Mammalia > Primates > Hominidae > Homo > Homo sapiens. The sequence continues at coordinate 50,726,846 of NC_000001.11, forward strand.
AAGAAAATGTACATAATTAAAATGGAACTAGACATTTTCATCACTTACTAGACCGTGACTAAAGCAAGTTGCAAAGACTGTCTTTTATTATCAAGACATTTCTTCAGTCCTTTTCTAGCAAGGTGATCATCAGCAATACAAAGCCCAGAAATGTCAAACCTTCTCCAGTTATATTTATACATGGCCTTAGGGCTTTGGCACTAGCCATACCCCCATATTCTTCACTCTGCCCTTCACTTAGATGGCCCCTCCATTTTTAATGTCTCAGCTTAAATAGTCCATCTTCAGTGAGGCCTTTATTGACCTTACAACCCACACTAGTCATTCAATTATTCACTATCATGTCACCATATTTTAGCTTTCTGGAAAGTACTCACTATCATCTGATATTTTTTCTTGTTATCTTCTCCATAGTTTTATTATAAACCAGATACACCTCTATACATATTATACTGTAAATTCTATGAAAGCAGGACCTTATCTGTCTTGCTCATTATATCCCTAGCACCTAGAACAAAGACTTAACACATTGTAGGATGATACTCAATATATATCTGGTCAATCAAAAGAAATCAAAGCTAAGGCAAATGTCTTTAGAAATGTGTCACTTTACAATATTCGTTCCACAAACACTTCCAAGTATCTACTATGTTTCCGACACTTTTTTAGGTGGTAGGGATACAACAGTGAACAACAAAAAATCCCTGATTTTCTGTAGTTTTACATTGTGGTGAGAGAAACAGACAACAAATATGAATATAAATAAATTACTGTGATGGTTAATATCGGGTGTCAACTTGATTGAAAGTATTGCTCCCTTGACTGAAAGTGTCTGTGAGGGTGTTGCCAAAGGAGATTAACATTTGAGTCAGTGGACTGGGAGAGGCAGACCCACCCTCAATCTGGGTGGGTATTGTCTAATCACCTGCCAGTGCAGCTAGAATAAAGCAGGCCGACTCCAAGTTCTTCAGCTCCAAGTTCAGACTCCAAGTTCTTCAGCTTTTGGACTCTTGGACTTACACTAGTGGTTTGCCAGGAGCTCTCGGACCTTTGGCCACAGACTGAAGGCTGCACTGTCAGTTTCCCTACTTTTAAGGTTTTGGGACTCGGACTGATCCCCTCCACTGCTTCCTTGCTTCTCAACTTGCAGATGGCCTATCATGGGACTTTAGCTTGTGATTGTGTGAGTTAATTCTCCCTAATAAACTCCCTTGCGTATATACATATATCCTATTAGTTCTGTTCCCCTATAGAACCCTGACTAATACAATTACTAATATCACTAATATAATGCACGGTAGGGATAAAGCAAGATAGAGAGAGGGTATAACAGAGGGGCTGTTTTAGATAGGGGCATCAAGAAAAGCCTCTCTGAGGGTGTGATATTTGAGTAGAGGCCTAAATAAAGTGAAGAAATGAGCCAAGTTGTTACCTGGTAGTATCATTACTGGCAGGAGAATAGCAAAATATAAATGCTCTAAGGTTTAAGCACACTTAGAAGGTTTAAAGAGGAACAGTATGGCTGGTGAGCTATGAGCCAGAGGGACAGCGATAAAAGACGAAGTTAGAGAGAAAGACAAGGATAAGATTATGTAAGTCTTTTATAGGTCCCAGTAAGGAACTTGGATTTTTATTAGAAGTGTAATAGAAAGCTAGTGGAGAGGGCCAGGCACAGTGGCTCATGCCTGCAATTCCAGCACTTTGGGAGGCTGAGGCAAGTGGATCACCTGAGGTCAGAAGTTTGAGACCAGCCTAGCCAACATAGTGAAACCCTGCCTCTACTAAAAATACAAAAAATAGCCAGGCATGGTGGCACATACCTGTAATCCCAGCTACTCGGGAGGCTGAGGCAGGAAAATCGCTTGAACCCAGGAAGCGGAGGTTGGAATGAGCCGAGATTGCGCCACTGCACTCTAGCCTGGGCGACAGAGCCAGACTCCGTCTCAAAAAAAAAAAAAAGAAAAGAAAAAGAAAACTAGTGGAGAGTTTTGAGCAGGGTAGCTATAATCAAGCTGTAGTTTTATGGAGAGGACTAGTTCATTTACATCTTAGTGAGACAATCTGAACTTGGGGGAAGATGCTGTTTGAAGATAGTAGAATAGATACAGGGAAAAAAAGTCATTAAATAGTAAGGCTGAGAGAAGCCAAAGAAAACTTTATCTATCTATCTATCTATCTATCTATCTATCTATATATATATATATATATATATATTTTTTTTTTTTTTGAGGCAGAGTTTCGCTATTGTTGCCCAGGCTGAAGTGCAATGGCACAATCTCGGCTCACTGCACCCTGCGCCTCCCGGGTTCAAGTGATTCTCCTGCCTCAGCCTCCCAAATAGCCGGGATAACAGGCATGCGCCACCATACCCGGCTTATTTTGTATTTTTAGTAAAGATGGGGTTTCTCCATTTTGAACAGGTTGGTCTCAAACTCCCGACCTCAGGTGATCCACCTGCCTCGGCCTCCCAAAGCGCTGGGATTACAGGTGTGAGCCACCACGCCCGGCCTATCTACTCATTTTTATTATCTATGGTCACAAGTGAAATGTACCCGTATTTTTTCTTTTATTTTCTTTTTCTGATTTTGGTATCAAGATTATATGAACATCATAAAATAAGCAGCAATCCTAGCTCAGTGCAACCTCTGCCTCCTGGGTTCAAGCAATTCTCATGCCTCAGCCTCCTGAGTAGCTGTGATTACAGGCATGTGCCACCATACCCGGCTAATTACTGTACTTTTAGTAGAGACAGGGTTTCACCATGTTGGCTAGGCTGGTCTCAAACTCCCAATCTCAGGTGATCCGCCTGCGTTGGCCTCCCAAAGTGCTGGGATTACAGGTGTGAGCCACTGCACCAAAGCTATCTCACAGAACTGTTTATGTAAGATTGGGATAGGCCAGGTGTGGTGGCTCACACCTGTAATCCCAGCACTTTGGGAGGCTGAGGCAGGTGGATCACGAAGTCAAGAGATTGAGACCATCCTGGCCAACATGGTGAAACCTCATCTCTACTAAAAATACAAAAATTAGCTGGGCGTGGTGGCACGTGCCTGTAGTCCCAGCTACTCAGGAGGCTGACGCAGGAGAGTTGCTTGAACCCAGGAGGCAGAGGTTGCAGTGAGCCCAGATTGAGCCATTGCACTCCAGCCTGGTGACAGAGAGAGACTCCTTCTCCAAAATAAAAAAAACAGATTGTGATAATTTGTTCCATGAAAATTTATGAAAAATCCTCTGGAGGGTGAAGGGGGTTGGAGCAGCATGCGGAATTTTTGACAACTAATTCAGTTTATTTAATAATTATCATTTTTTCAGGTCATCTCTTTTTGTACTCATTTTAGTACTTCATATTTTATATAAAATTTTCCATTTCACCTAAATTTTGGATTTTATTAGCATAAAGACATGGATATTTCATTGTTTATTTTGAAATAATTTATTAATTTATTATTTGCTTAGTATTATTTAATAATTATCTTATTACTTTAAAAATCTCTTCTTAATCTGTAGTTTTAAGTCCCTTTTTTTCATACCTAGTATTTTGTTTATGCTTACTCTCATTTTTTCCTGGTTTGACTTTTCAAGTAAATAGTTCTTATTCTTGTTGCTTGCCTCTGTCATTAATTTCTGCTCTTTAATCTTTCTTTCTATTTTCAGTGCACTTACTCTGCGGTTATTATTCTATTTTCTTAAGTTAAACACACAATTCAATTATTTTCTATCTTTCTTATTGTAGTGAATTCTTTAATTTTATGTTGCTTCCACATTCATTTTGAACATTTAATTTTCTCATGCCAGAAGCAGGGCTCCGCTACTCTTGACAGAGTTTCCAGTTCTATACTATACCCAAATGGCTCAGGCCAGTGGTCAGAAATAAGAACTTAGAGGCATCCCTCCTGCCTAACAGACTAGGCTCCACATTTTCTTGCAGCTTCCTTTATCAGGACCATTCAGGTATTTGCTCTTGAACTTCCCTTATATATATTGCTAGTTGCTACACGCTTTTCACTCTCTCTCTGCCCAACTCTTCATTCCTGCTTCACATGACACAGGGACAGAGGACTACCCTCCCAACTCATGTCCTTCTTGCCTAGGAACTGAAAGTAAAAATATCTCTGAACTTGCTTCCTATTGTGTTATATTGAATTTGCACCTTCCATCTGAAGAACTAGGAACTGCCCCAAGCTGGGCTTTCCCAGAGATACTGGAGAGAACAAAAGGTCAGGCTCCTAGAGCCAGAGTGATGGTCACGCAGGCAAAAATTGGACACGAGCTAGACAAGAGCCACAAAGACATCTACCAGTATAAACAAGTTTCCTGTGTGAGGGACCCTCTGGTCACAGGTTGGACAACTAGGCTTTAGGCTGTCCACCATGTGAAAGAAGCATCCCATGAAAGGCACACTATAAACACTCCTGTCCAGTTCCCCTTGATTTTCTGTTAAGGTAAGGTAGCTAACTGCTGAGGTACTAGAAGTCCAATTTAGCTGGGGGCTCTCAAAACACTTGTCTTTCTGTTTTATCTTTTCTCTTTTTTTTTTTTTTTTGAGATGGAGTCTCACTCTGTCCCCGGGCTGGAGTGTAGTGGTACAGTCTTGGCTCACTGCAAGCTCTGCCTCCCAGGTTCACGCCATTCTCCTGCCTCAGCCTCCCCAGTAGCTGGGACTACAGGCACCTGCCACCACACCTGGCTAATTTTTGTATTTTTAGTAGAGACGGGGTTTCACTATGTTAGCCAGGATGGTCTCGATCTCCTGACCTCGTGATCCGCCCGCCTTGGCATCCCAAAGTGCTGGGATTACAGGCATGAGCCACCGCGCCCGGCCTCAAAACACTTGTCTTCTAATTGGTGGACTTAAGACTACAAATTTCTAAGTATCATTTTGGCTGTATCCACAGTTTTAGTACCTAGCAATCTCATTTATGTTCACTTCTAAGTATCTGATGTTTGCTATTATGACTTCATTTTTACCCATAAATTGTTTTGAAGTAAATTATCTGTAGGATCCAAATGCATGGGGGATTTGGGATATATGTTTTTATTATTACTTTACTTATAATTTTATTGCATAATGACCAGACAATGCAGTCAATATGATAGTGATTCTTTGATACTGGCTTTGTGTTCTACTACATGGTCAGTTTTCTAAGTATTCCATGAGTGCTTTACGGGGTTATTAAAATCTTCTATAGCTGACAAAGATGTATTGCTAAATACATTATTATTATTATTTATTTATTTATTTATTTTGAGACAGAGTCTGGCTCTGTCGCCCAGGCTGGAGTGCAATAGCCCGATCTCAGCTCACTGCAACCTCTGCCTCCCAGGTTCACGCCATTCTCCCACCTCAGCCTCCCGAGTAGCTGGGACTACAGGCGCCCGCCACCACGCCTGGCTAATTTTTTATATTTTTTAGTAGAGACGGGGTTTCACCATGTTAGCCAGGATGGTCTCAATCTCCTGATCTCGTGATCTGCCCACCTTGGCCTCCCAAAGTGCTGGGATTATAGGCATGAGCCACCACACCTGGCCTTAAATACATTATTTTCTGAAAGATTTTGTGTTCAATGTGGAGTTGGTCTATATCTTCTTGTAATTCTGTCCAATTTTGTAGACTTGTGCATACAAGCCTGCAATTGTCATATCTTCTTGGCAAATTGTCTTTCAATGCTATTTGCCTTAAATTCAATTTTATGTGATATAAATATTATTACTATAGTATATTCTTACAGTTAATATTTCCCTGGGGTCACTTTCTTTTCCTTTATTTTCTCTGTCATTTCTTTAAAAGATGTCTCTTTGGTAAACAACATATGGCTATTTTTGTAAATTCTATTTGAGAGTTTCTGTCTTTAATAGGAGAGTTTAGTACTTTCTTGTTCATGGAGAATTCTGATAAATTTTATTTTTCTTTTTGCCATCATATTTTCTGTTTTCTATTATACTTGTTTTCCTGTGTTTCTGTTTCAGTTTCAAATTGCTGTTTGCTGATGTATTGACTGAGTTCCTCATTCCTTTCTTTCTTCTAGATGTATGCAGGTTATTTACTTCTTTTTTTTTTTAGTGTTTATTCTCTTTATTTATAACACTTATATTTAGATTTATGTTTTTAAAATACAGACTAAAGTTAATCAGTATTTCTAGCCTTCTTCAACTGTAGTTCCCAATAACCACTATCTCTGTGTCGTCACCTCACCTCTACCCCAACTCAGTTTCTCTATCTGCAAAACAGGTAATCGTATCTACTTGTGATTTATTATGATGACCTAATAAGATAACATATATAACAGGCTTGCCAAAAAACCTGGCTTCATAAATGTTAATTACTGTGTCACTGTCACTTATCAGTTTAGCTTCACACTTCCTTAACATCCTTATTCTCATAACTATTACCTATTTTCTATTTTGATGTTATCTATAATTTGGAATCTGTCATCAACCATTACTGTAACAGTACTGAAATCTAGATCCCAGAAATGTTCTCCATCTGTCTCCAATCTTCTATTATTACACCTTTCCTACTGTCTCTAAACCTGTTACCTAATGTCATTTCAACACTTAATCCCTGGGCTCCACCCGTATCTCTCTGCTATGAACTGAATTGTGTCCCCCTAGAATTTATATGTTGACTCTCTAACACCCACTGTGACTGTACTTGGAGACAGCATCTTCAGGATACAATTCAGGTTAAAGGAGGTCATAAGGGCTGGGTCCTAATCTGATGGGATTGATGTCCTTATAAAAAGATGAAGGGAAACCAGAGTTCTCTCTCTCTCCTCTCTCTCTCTGCCATATGAGGACATGGCAGGAAGTTGGGCTTGTAAACCAGGAAGAGAGCTTTCAACAGGAACTGACTCTACTGGAACCTTCATCTTGGAGATTTCCAAACTCAAGAACAAGGAGAAATAAATGCCTATTGTTTAAGCTACCCAGTCTATGGTACTTTGTTATAGCAGCCCTAGCAAACTAAAACAGTTCCATACCCACTCTGCTGCCCAGGCTTGAGTGCAGTGTTGCAATCTCAACTCACTGCAACTTCCACCTCCAGGGTTCAAGCAATTCTCCTGCCTCAGCCTCCTGAGTAGCTCGGGTTACAGGCGTGCACCACCACACCCAGATAATTTTTGTATTTTTAGTAGAGATGGGGTTTCACCATATTGGCCAGCCTGGTCTCAAACTCTTGACCTCAAGCAATCCACTCACCTCGGCCTCTCAAAGTGTTGGGAATACAGGCGTGAGCCACTGCACTCAGTCTTTGGCCACATTTTCTATTTTGGTTTCACTTGTTTACATTTTTCCTACTTGCTGTCTCTTACTCCTTGTGCTTCCAATACTTCTCAAGTATCTTACCTTGACTTCTCCCTCAACTTCTCCTTCCTTCACCATCAAGTTTTCTGAAAATAACAGTAATCATTTCTTCATTTCTTGTTTATCCATGAAAATCTACTATAATCGAGTTCTCATTCTCACCATTCTACCAAAAATGATTTTAACAAAGTTATTAATTACTTATATTCCCAACCCAATGGCTTTTTTAATAATCAGCATCTTGGTTAGAATACACTTCAGTATTTTATACTGTTGGACATTTGAAACGAAAAACACATGTAGGCCGGCCAAGATGGCTCAAGCCTGTAATCCCAGCACTTTGGGAAGCCGAGGCGGGTGGATCACGAGGTCAGGAGATTGAGACCATCCTGGCTAACATGGTGAAACCCTGTCTCTACTAAATATACAAAAAATTAGCCGGGCGTATTGGCGGGCGCCTGTATTCCCAGCTACTCGGGAGGCTGAGGCAGGAGAATGGCGTGAACCCAGGGGGCGGAGCTTGCATTGAGCCGAGATCACGCCACTGCACTCCAGCCTGGGCGATAGAGCGAGACTCCATCTCAAAAAAAAAAAAAAAGAAAAAGAAAAACACATGTAGTAGTACAGAGACATATGATTTTGAATTACAGATAGGACACACACAAATGAAAAACTCCACAGGCAACTGGGACATGTGAGTTGCTAAATAGAGATTTGTAAGTTATCTATACATATTTAGAAATTGAAGAGTTGAGGGTAGATATCAGGGAGAAGGTACAATAAGAAAGACTGCTGAGAAGAGAACTCTCCAGAATACCAACATTTAGAGCAGGTGAAGAAATGAAGAGTTTAGGAAGGAATCTGGGTGAAGCAATCAAAAAGAACACCAGGAATGAGTTGGTATCTAAGAATATTTTCTATACAGGAATAACTTAAGAAAAGGCCTAATCATCTTAATAAATAGGTTACAGGCTACCTGAGGACACAGCTTGTTTTTATTAAGTAATCAATAAGTCATTGATGAACTGAATCTTTCCTGTAATAATATGAAACAGTATAATTAACAGTTTGTTTTCTCCTTCCTAATTTTACTGTGATTTATAATAGAATTTATAGTTGTATCACAGAGGCCACTGGAGTACTGCTTCACCCTTTCAATTAATTAGTGAAATCTGATTTCTTTTTTAAAAGGGCTTAAAATGCTTTTCAACTGTTACAAAGATTATGATTAAGAGTTTGCTCTTCGATTCTCAGAAAGCTTGAAATTCTGTTTTCTGAAACACATAATTTACTTTAAAAACATTCAGTTTACAATTATAGGCACTCATATGGTAATTTTGCTGCTCTTAGTTTATACCATTTCTTCCCCTAGAAAGAAATTATATTAATACAAAGACTCAATTACCAGGCACCCCCTAGTGGCAGTAAAATCAAGTTAAGAAGTTTTTTTGTTTTCTTGTTTTTTAACAGGACATGGTTTGAGATACAGTTTTCTGTATGTATACTTCTTTAACAAAACTTAAGAGTGAGACGGTTTGTCAGTGAACAATTTAATAACTATTTTATTTTATTTATTTTATTTAGAGACAGGGTCTTGCTCTACTGCCCAGGCTTAAAGTACAGTGGCATGATCTCAGCTCACTGTAACCTCAAACTCTTGGGCTCGAGCAATTCTCCTGCCTCAGCCTCCTGAGCAGCTAGGACTACAGGTACGTGCCACAACACCCGGCTATTTCATAAAAATTGTTTGTAGAGATACAGTCTCGCTATGTTCTCCAGGCTGGTCTCAAACTCCTATTGTCAAGTGATCCTCCCACCTCAGCCTCCCAAAGTGCTGGTGTTATAGGCATAAGCTACGGTGCCCGGCCAACATGTTATTTTATATCTACATTATATTAAATGATTAATAATATACTGTAACTAAGAGTGAATTCACACACTGAAATTTCATGCAAATTCTTAAGAATTATAAGTGAGGTAATATACGCCAATGCAATAATATATACATAAACCTTCCCATTTTACTCTACCAATTACACAGTTGTTATATTCATTTGCCAATTCCCAAATATAACACTTAGAATCATAATTATCTTTTTTCTCCTTTTTAGATTATAAATTAGGTTACAAATTACAAATAAGATTTCTAAGAATCCATCAATTGTAACAAAATTCTGCAAAAGCAAATCAGTTTGATTCATTATGAAGTCTAGTACAAAGCAAGTTTATCTGTCTACCATTTTTGATAATATGATATGCTATATAACTTACTAGGATATTGTTTGTTTGATTCTATTATATAGTTAAGATGTAAAGTGGCTGGGCACAGTGGCTCACGCCTGTAATCCCAGCACTTTGGGAGGCCGAGGTGGGAGGATCACCTGAGTTCAGGGGTTTGAGACCAGCCTGTCCAACATGGTGAAACCCCATCTCTACTAAAAATACCAAAAATTAGCCAGGCGTAGTGGTGGGCACCTGTAATCCCAGCTACTCAGGAGGCTGAGACAGGAGAATTGCTTGAACCCAGGAGGCGGAGGTTGCAGTGAGCTGAGATCATGCCATTGTACTCCAGCCTGGGCAACAAGAGCGAAACTCCGTCTCCAAAAAAAGAAAGAAAGAAAAAAAAAAGATGTCAAAATATTTTTATTTGATGAGTCACAAAATAAAACTCACAACTTAAAAATAATTATTACCATCAACTTTTAAGGTTCTGCATGGATTTTGTTTTGTTTTTTAAATTGTCTCCCACAAAATCAGCTTTCAATATATATGCTATTTTAAAAATCTCTAGTTTTATAGAAAGATACATTGAATAAACATACTAAAAGAAGTAAACCCTAGCTTTTAAGTTATGTGTTAATAAAAAGTACATTAACATAACTTTTACATTAGCAGGAGTCTCCATTTGTCCCTCCTCCCACTATGTTTTTTGTTCACCTTTGAACTTTTCTCTCTTATTCTTCCAATACAAAAAAAGAATCATTATAACTTGGTAAAAATCCACAAAGCCAAATAGAGAAGTATATTTTAATGCTAGATAAAGTACTCATTCTCCAATAAACACTGCATTTCAGCAGCACTGTAGACTCCTGCTTGCCTAGGGAGTGAGTGACTGGCAATCAAACTAAGGTCAGCTACATGGCAATGAAGAACGTTTCCATTAGCCCAGGTAGACATTTTGATAAATCCATTTAATCACGCTACTGGAAAGCAACAGATTATAAACAATGACATCTCCTGTCTGCTTTTAATTATGTGGATTACCTATTTTATGACAGTGATTACACTTTGTTAACTAACCTACAAAATAATGTTCTACATGACTAGATACAGAACCATACCTATAACTATTTAACTTAATTTCATCTGAGGTTCACATCAACATTATTATAAACACATGGACCATAAGTTTGTAGTTTGTAATTTTGTAACTGTGTGCAAATTCCACTTCCCATTAACATACGGTCTAAACATAGAAAATAAAGAGCAATCCAAGAACTCTTTAAATTCTTAACCCAAAACCAACTATTAACAGACCATCCAATACAACTACACAAGATTTAACTTTTTCAGTTCAGTGATTTCTACTTCAGTGAAGCCAAATTTAATTTTATTTTTGCTACTATCTACCTAAAAATCAAGACATTTGGCAAGTGGTGGGGGGAAAGCTTGACAATGTTCAAAATTTAGGGACACAAGTCTCCCTACCACAAAAAAATCACCAAGTTGTTGTATTTAAAAGAGAAAAATTTGTATCAACAACAGAAAATCTAAAAATAAACATAGTTCTGGAATAATACTGTATGAAAAGATTCCTCATAAAAATTATTATCACTAGCATAATCATCCACTATAGGTCAGTTTGCTTCATTAAACAATAAAAAACGTAATGTATAATTAAAAATTAAAATCATGTGATCATTGTATAAATGTATTGAGTTCCACTGTGAAAACTGAAAAAACAATGAGACCCTCTATTCCAGAGAGAAAATCTTAATAAAAAATTTACATCACCAGGCACAGTGGCTCATGCCTGTAATCCCAGCACTTTGGGAGGCCGAGGTGGGCAGATCACCTAAGGTCAGGAGTTCAAGACCAGCCCGACCAACATGGAGAAACCCCATCTCTACTAAAAATGCAAAATTAGCTGGGCATGGTGGCACATGCCTATAATCCCAGCTACTCAGGAGGCTGAGGGAGGGGAATCACTTGAATCCGGGAGGCAGAGGTTGCGGTGAGCCAAGATCGTACCATTGCACCTCAGTCTGGGCAACAAGAGTGAAACTCCGTCGCAAAAAAAAAAAAAAAAAAAAATTATATCAGTGTTTTTCAAGCTTTACTCTGCAGAGCTCAATGAATTTTCCTCAAAGGTATGCTTTCTTTAGCAATGAGAGAGATTGGAACTCCATTTATACTTTCTCTTCCTTCCAACTTGGATCCTTTCCCTTCAGTCAGAGAAGTACCATTTTGACAATTTTTAAAAATTATACTGGAGTTATGCTAAAGACTTTAAAGTGGTATAAGAGGACTATACCGTTAAAACAAACTATCCAGAACAAACTGTTTCAAACCTGATATACTTCATAGTAGTTGGTAAGGTCAATTTCAACAAGACTTGTATTTGATTTAATTTTGAGGTTTATATACAACTTAAAGCAATTTTAACAACTGAGTTTTTCATTTCATGTTCCCAGGAAATATAAACAACTTACCCAGCATGACTAGATGATGAAGGTGGTGGCAAATCTGGTGTAAGGACATAAAGACTGTTGTTTTTTGGCAAGTGTAGAGATTTTAGGACCGTCTGAAAAAGAAAAAACACAGCAAAAAATGAATGTTGATGTTGATTATTCATTATTGATTTTTCCTGTAATTCTTGAAAAATTGTTAATTTTGTAGTTTTTTTTATCTTTTGATAATTTCCTAAATAGGGTAATGCAAAAGAACTACTGAATCCAAGTAACCTTATTGCCCATATATATAATATATACATATATAGGGGAAATATGGTTGTATACCTATATATATTGTATGTATACAACATTCAGGTTTATGCTAGTTTATTTTATATATGTATATGCATACATATATATGTGTGTCTATATATGTGCATGTGTACATGTGCATACATATACATATGTACATGTGTACACGTACATGCATATACATGTGTACATGTGTACACGTACATGCATATACATGTGTACATGTGTACACGTACATACATATACATATATGTGTGTTTATGTGTATGTGTATACATGTGAGTGTATGTGTATGTGTGTATATATGTGTATACACACATACACATATATAAAATGAACTAGCATAAACCTGAATGTTAATATATAAACTCTTTAGCTCATGAAGCAACACAAACAGATAAGAACACAGTTGGGACTCAATTACTTTTTCACTGAAGAAGTATATCCTTGCAAATAATATATACTTCGTTTCAGGGTCATCATGGCAAAAATTGGCAATATAGGTTTTCAGAGATCATTAGACCTTGAAAAGATCACTGAGAGCACCTCAAGCCAACGATTTTATAGATGGGAAGCTATATAGCCTGAGAGGTTAGGTAACTTGGATGAGGTCTCTGGTGTTACCTATATATCTTTTACTCCAGATATCTTTTTTGTTAAAGCTCTCACTCTTTGAAATGAATAAATTACTATTGTACTACATATGACCTACTATCTTGATAAGCACAGAAAATTTCATTCACCAAATTTCTTTGCCAGAAAATTCACATACATTTCAAACTCCTAACCTGAAGGTAAAAACTTGCTGAAGTACTTCAAATGTTTCTTGAAACCAATACACATTAAGAAATACATTGTATACCTTTACATCATAAGCCAGGAAATGCACTTATCAACAGATATTTTTTGAGCCACCTACTCTGTATCAGGACTACTCTAGCCACTGAGAATATAGCATTGAACAGAACAGCCTAAAATAAAATTCTCTGATCTTAGGGAGCTTACATTTGAGTAGGAATAAATAAGTAACCCTATATAGTTGAATGTTGAAAGTGACAATTTTTTGACTAAAAATAAAGCAGGGAAGGGGGGATAAAGAATGTGGGGTTGAGCTTAGCAATTTTAAACAGGGCCATCAAGGTGGGTCTCACTTGGAGAATGTGACATTTGAGCAAAAACTTAAAAGGTGAAGGAAGCAAACCATGAGAATATATAGAGAAAGAATATATTCCTTCCTGGGGAGGGGCAATCTTACACAAGCATGGAACATATGGAACTTATTCTTAACCCCTCCATGAGAGGACCCAGCTTATTAAGTGTGCAGTCTTAATCCAAGGGTATTGAGACTTACTCTTGACTCATATTAGTTATGTGTTAAATGAAAAGAAATACATAATTACCCTTATTATTTGAAATACACTCTGGCGTTTCCTATTGTATTCTATTTCTCTTTTTTCATTTCTTTCTTCTTCTGTTTTGTTTGTTTGTTTTTGTTTAATGCTGCTGACTATAACCCACTCGATTAACTTCCCAATCCACTAATGGTTTATGGTCCATAGTTTGAAAAAAACATTGCATTTGGCAATTACCTATAACTTTACAATTTACCAGGAGACATGGACATCCTGAAACTTTATGTCAAATATGTGATATCCTTTTGAAATTGATGAGTTATCTCTATAGAGTTAACATGCAAACAACACACACACACACACACAAATTATTTTTCTCTTTTTATCTTTCATTGTTTTACTTTGTGAATTATTGGTAAATGCTTGCCATTTGATCATTATTGTTCTTTTTCCATGCCACTATCCAAAGATTTTCTATTAAATTTTCCCATCAAACCACATATGGAAAGATTAAATAAAATGGATACTTTCCTTAAGTTATTTACTCATGCATTCATCCCATAAACATTTATTTCAGGTCTGTTATGCCAGGCTTTAAATATACGATGATGAAAGAAACAGATATGGTCCCTCTATTAATACTGGTGTGATGGAGAATGCTGGGATGGGACCAAATTAGATACAGAAGCCTGTTGGAGAAGGTAACCTTAAGCTGAGACTTGAATGATGAAAAAGAGACACCCATGTGAAGAACAGGAGGTAAAGCATTCCAGGCAGTTGAATAGCATCTGTCAGACAAAGATGTAAAGAGCTTGAGCCTATTAAAAGATTTCAAAAAAGGTTTCTGTGGCTGGAACATGGAAAGTGAGAGTAAGAAAGGCTCAAGATGATGTTGTAGAGGCGAGAATGGGGTAATACAATAACTTTTAAACTATTGTGAGTAGTCTGAATTTTATTTGAAATGTAATAAAAAAGCTATGTTTTAATGGGAGAGTGATATAATTCAATTTATGTTTTTAAAAGATCACTCTGACTGCTGTGTGGAGAATGCACTGGAAGAAACACTGAAAGGAAGCTGAGACAACAATAATGAAGTTACCATATTGCTCCAGACAAGAGATGCTCATGGCCTCATGGCCTGAATTAAGCAGTTGCAACTGAAATACTAAAAAGTGGCCATGGTTGAGATACATTTTAAAGATCGAATCTACAGAATATAACAAAGGATTAGGTGCTGTAAGAAATGAGAAAAGACTGATGGCCAGTTTTGGATTCAGCAGTGGCTATAATCATTGTGCTACTTCTTGGGGGAAGATTGGTAGAGATATGGGATAGGAGGGAAAATCAAGAGTTCCATTTTAAACACGTTAAGTTTGAGACACCAATAAGATATACAAGTACAAAAGTCAATTACCAGTTTGGATATGTGAATTCAAAAAAGTATGAGCTGAAAATATAAATTCGGAGGCAATCAGAAAATTAATGTCATGGGAATAGCAGAAATCACCTAGTGAAGAGTACATAGAAATAAGTAACTGAGGCTGGGTGCCATGGCTCATGCCTGTAATCTCAGCACTTTGGGAGGCCAAGGCAGGAGGACTGCATGAGTCCAGGAATTCAGGATCAGTCTGGAAAACATAGCAAGACCCTGTCTCTACAAAAATTTAAAAAAAAAAAAAATTAGCCAGGCGTGGTGCACATCTATAGTCCTAGCTACTTAGAAGGCTGAGGTAGAAGCATCACTTGAGTCTAGGAGGTCAAGGCAGCAATGAGCCATGATTGTACCGCTGCACTCCAGCCTAAGCAACAGGGTGAGAACTCATCTCATAAAAAGAAAAAAGAAGAAGAAAGAAGTAAATTGAAGTATTTGTAACCAAGGCTGTGTTCAAATTTGGGAGGGGGGGTGTGGCGGGGGAGAGAGACTCTTGCTCTGTCGCCCAGGATGGAGTGTAGTGGCAAAATCTCAGCTCACTGCAACCTCCACCTCCCAGGTTCAAGCGATTCTTGTGCCTCAGCCTCCTGAGCAGCTGGGAATACAGGTGTGCACCACCACGCCCAGCTAATTTTTATATTTTTAGTAGAGACAGGGTTTTGTCATGTTGTCCAGGCTGATCTCAGACTCCTGGCCTCAAGTGATCTGCCTGACTCAGCTTCCCCAAGTGTTGGGATTACAAGGGTGAGCCACTCCACCCAGCTGACTGATTCATACCCACAGGTTTCTCAATGAATGAATGAATAAATAACTACAAAAGCGAACTCATTTTGGTGTTTTCTTTCTGTCAAGGTTGTTGATTTACTCAGTCAGCACTTTTAAAAAGTTTTAATCCATGCATCAGCAGCAGCGGGGGATAGCAAACTATGGCCTGTGGGTCAAACCCAGCCTGCTGCCTGTTTTTGTATGGCCTGTGAGTTAAGAATGGTTTTCACTTTTTTTAAAGGTTGGAAAATAAATCAAAAGAATATTTTATGGCATGTGAAATTACATAAAATTCAAATGTCTGCATCCATAAACATACTGAAACATAATTATGCTCGATGTTTCACATATTGTCTACGGCTGCTTTCCCACTAAGAGAGCAGTGATTAAGTAGCTGTATGGCACACAAAGCCTAAAATATTTACTATCTGACTCTGTACAGAAAAAGTTTGCTGCCACCTAATCTAAACTTATCTGTATCTTGCCAACCCAAACTTCCTGTAAATATCTCACTGAAATACTCAGAACATCTCCAAATTTCAAATGAACTCATATATAAGTACTTATAAACACAATGACTGCAAGAAGCCATTCACGAAGAAGAACTGAACCAAAAGTTGAAGTTTTTATATTTTTATTTATTTTTATTTATCTTTTTTTTGAGATAGGGTCTCACTCTGTCGCCCAGGCTAGAGTACAGTGGCACGATCTCGGCTCATGGCAGCCTCCACCTTGTGGGTTCAAGCAATTCTCCCACCTCAGCCTCCCGAGTAGCTTGGATTACAGGGGCGTGCCACCACGCCCAGCTAATTTTTGCATTTTTAGTAGAGATGGGGTTTTACCATGTTGGCCAGGCTGGTCTCGAACCCCTGACCTCAGGTGATTCACTTGCCTCGGCCTCCCAAAGTGATAGGATTATAGGCGTGAGCCACTGCGCCCAGCCAAAAGTTGAAAATTCTAAGTTTATGCCTGGCCATTAAAATGACCCAGTAACTAATGTGAAAACATTCAATAATTATTTCCACCTCAAACATCTAAAACTCTAGAACTAACTCATTTTTTTTCCTTCTTTCTCCACTCTCTCTGGAAGAAAAAAAAGTGTGTAAGCCCAGGTGCAGCAGCTCACACCTATAATCCCAGCACTTTGGAAGGCCGAGGCAGGTGGATCACAAGGTCAGGAGTTCGAGACCAGCCTGGCCAACATGGTGAAACCTCATCTCTACTAAAAATGCAAAAATTAGCTGGGCGTGGTGGCACGCACCTGTAGTCCCAGCTACCTGGGAGGCAGAAGCAGGAGAATTGCTTGAATCCAGGAGGCAGAGTTTGCAGTGAGGCGAGATCATGCCACTACACTCCAGCATGGGCAACAGAGCGAGACTGTCTCAAAAAAAAAAAGTGTGTAAAAAATGTTATATCTGAGGTTGCTACTGGGTTCCTAAGAATAGCAACTATTTCCTTAAAATTGCAATACTCTCTGCAAATTCTTAAAATATAATTCATTCCATGCACCTGCCACTATCCAAGTCAACAAGGAAAACAACATCCTTATTTAAATTCTCCAAGTTTAAAAAATTTCCTATTATCTTTGTTCCATAATCAATACTTGACATAAATGTATACGCTGCATGTGACTTCTTTCGGACCAATATGTAATTGCTCAGAAAATTATTATTCCAGGGCATTCACTGATACTCTAGGAGGTTTGAGAAAAAGGTAAAGCCTCTCAAAAAAAGGGCCAAACTCCTTTAAAAGTTAGAAATAGGAAAAACATGCCATATACTGTTTTCATTTACAAATCTACTCATTTACAATTGTTATTGGTTTATCATGAAATATTTTAGCTTAGAAAACACTACTTGCTGATTCCTTAAACTAAATTACTATTGCCAAATCTACTACTGCCATATGTAACAACATTAATTAAAACCAATTTTTACATATCATTTAATCAATGGCATAACTTAATTTTCTTTTATTTCTATGCAATTAAGAAACTCACACTGTCTTCCACATCTCCCGTCTTCCAGCCTTTTAACAGCATTTTGGACACAGGTATCTGAAGTTCATTTTCTAGAATCTGTTTAATCTCTCCTGTATAAATAAGAAGAGATCAAATATTACTAACAAAATAACACAGTTAACATTTGTCCATATCCAGAGCTAACACTAATATGTGGCATACAGTGTACAGTCAATGACATTTGTCTGATGAATATTTCTGTATCTATAAAATGGGAAATAATATTATTTATCTTATCTTGCCTTAGGATCTGAGGATGACAAAAGATAGCATACATTAATGAAACTAAAAAATAAAGCTAGGCTGGGTGTGGTTGCTCATGCCTGTAATCCCAGCACTTTGAGAGGCCAAGGTGGGCAGATCACCTGAGACCAGGAGTTCAAGACTGGTCTGACCAACATGGTGAAACTCTGTTGAAACCCTGTCTCTATTAAAAATACAAAAAAATTAGCCAAGCGTGGTGGCACACACCTGTAATCCCAGCTACTCAAGAGGCTGAGGCAGGAGAATCACTTGAACCTGGGAGGCAGAGGTTGCAGTGAGCCGAGATCGTGCCACTGCACTCCAGCCTGGGTGACAAGAGAAAAACCCCATCTCAAAAAATTAAAAACAAAAAATAATAAAGCTAATATATAGATAATAATATATAGGAGACAATTTAAACTGTATTAAAGAGAAGAGCAACAAGAATTTCAGAAAAGAAAAAAAATGTTGATATGGTTTGAATTTGTGGCCCTGCTCAAATCTCATGTCAAATTGTAATTCCCAGTGTTGGAAGTGAGGCCTGATGGGAGGTGACTGGATCATAGGGGGCTGATTTCCCTCTTTGATGCTGTTCTTGTGGTAGGGTTCTCAGGAGATCTGGTTGTTTAAAAGTGTGTGCTACCTTTCCTCTCTCTTCATCCTGCTCTGGCCTGCTCCCACTTTGCCTTCTGCCATGAGTAAAAGCTCCCTGGGCCTCCTTAGAAGCAGATGCTGCCTTGCTTCCTATAAAGTCCATGGAACAGTGAGACAATTAAACTCTTTTTCTTTACAAATTATCCAGTCTCGGGTATTTTTTATAGCAGTGTGAAAACAAACTAACAGAGAGAATTGCTACTGAAAAGTGGGGCATTGCTATAAAGACACCTGAAAATGTGGAAGCGTCTCTGAAACTGGGTAATGGGCAGAGGCTGGAAGAGTGCAGAGAGCTCAGAAGACAAGAAGATGAGGGAAAATTAGGAACTTCCTAGAGACTTATCAACTTGTTGTCAACAAAATGCTGACAGTGATATGGACAATGAAGTCCAGGCTGAGGAGAGCTCAGATGGAAATAAGGAACTTATTGGGAACTGGAGCAAAAGTCACTTTTGTTATGTGTTAGCAAAGAACCTGGTGGCATTGTGCCCCTGCCTAGAGATCTGTGGAACTTTGAAGTTGAGAATGATGACTTAGGATAACTGGAGGAAGAAATTTCTAAGGAACAAAGCATTCAAGATGTTGCCTGGCTGCTTCTAGTACCCTACGCTCGTATGTGTGAGCAAAGAAATGACCTGAAACGAACATATATATATATATATATATATATATATATATATATATATATATATTTTTTTTTTTTTTTTTTTTTTTTTTTTGAGACAGAGTTTCACTCTTGTTGCCCAGGCTGGAGTGCGACGGCGTGATCTCTGCTCACCACAACCTCTGCCTCCTGGGGTCAAGCAATTCTCCTGCCTCAGCCTCCCAAGTAGCTGGGATTACAGGCATGCACCACCACACCTGGCTAATTTTGTATTTTTAGTAGAGATGGGGTTTCTCATGTTGGTCAGGCTGGTCTCAAACTCCCAACCTCAGGTGATCCGTCTGCCTCAGCCTCCCAAAGTGCTGGGATTACAGGCATGAGCCACCGAGCCCGGCCAATGAATTTATATTTTAAAGGGAAGCAGAGTGTAAAAGTTTGAAAAATTTGTAGCCCAGTTATGTGGTAGAAAAGAAAAGCCAATTTTCAGGGGAGAAATTCAAGCGGGCTGCAGAAGTTTACATAAGTAAAGAAAAGCCAAGTGCTGATAGCTAAAACAATGAAGAAAAGGCCTCACAGGCATTTCACAGACCTTCACAGCAGCCCCTGCCATCACTGGCCCAGAGGCCTACGAGGTGGGTGAGACCCAGGGCCTCACCACCCTGCACAGACGCAGGAAACTGCTCCCTGCATCCTGGCTGCTCTGTATCCAGCCATGGCTCAAAGGAACCTGGGTACTGTTTGGGCCGCTGCTTCCATGTGGTGTTAAGCCTGCAGGTGCACAGAATGCAAGAGTTGAGGCATGGGGGCCCCCGCATAGATTTCAGATGCTATATGGAAAAGCCTGGATGTCCAGGCAGAAGCCCTCATGGAGAATCTCTACTAGGACAGTGCAGAGAAGAAATGTGAGGTTGGACCCCCACACACACAGTCTCCATTGGGGCACTGCCTGGTGGAGCTGTGAGAAGAAGGCCACCATCATCCAGACCCTGGAATGATAGATCCACTAAATACCCTGCACCTGGACAAGCTGGAGGCACTCAACACCTGCCCTTGAGAGCAGCCATGGAAGCTGAACACTTCCAAGCCACAGGGGTGTAGCTGCCCAAGGCTTTGGGAGCCCACCCCTTGCATCATTGTACCCTGGATATGAGACATGGAGTCAAAGGAGATTATTTGGAACATTAAGATTTAATGACTATCCTGCTGGGTTTTGAACTTGCACAAGGCCTATAGCATCATTCTTTTGGCCATTTTCTCCCTTTTGGAATGGGAGTATTTACTCAATGCCTATACCCCCATTTTATCTTAGGAGTAAGTAACCTGCTTTTGCTTTTACAGGCTCACAGGTAAAAGGGACCAGCCTTGTCTCAGATGAGACTTTGGACTTCTGAGTTAGTGCCAGAATGAAGTAAGACTTTGGAGGACTGCTGAGAAGGGATGATTGTATTTTGCAATGTGAGAAGGACATGAGATTTGGGAGGGGCCACGGGTGAAATAATATGGTTTGGATTTGCATCCCCAATCATGTTAAATTATAATCCTGAGTGTTGGCAGTGGGGTCTGGTAGGAGGTGACTGAATCATGTGTGACAGATTTCCCCCTCTGGTGCTGTTCTTGTGATACAGTTCTCGTGAGATCTGGGTGTTTAAAAGTGTGTGCCACCTCCCCTCTCTCTCTTCCTCCTGCGCTGGCAATGTGACGATGTCTGCTCCTGCTTTGCCTTCCACCACGAGTAAAGGCTCCCTGAAGCCTCCCCAGAAGTAGATGTTGCCATGCTTCCTGTATAGCCTGCAGAACTGCGAACCAATTAAACCTTTTTTCTTTATAAATTACCCAGTCTCAGGTATTTTTTTATAGCACTGCCAGAACAGACTAATACAAATGTGTTGTATCAGATAGAGAAAGCTTTGTGAGAGAAATGAGACTTAAATTAAACTTGAAGTATAGTTGGTCTGCAAAGGACAGACAAACCAAAATAAGGAAGGATACTCTATACAGTAAAGAAAAATGCCAGGCGTGGTGGCTCATGCCTGTAATCCCAGCACTTTGGGAGGCCAAGGCAGGCAGATCAACTGAGGTCAGGAGTTCGAGACCAGCCTGCCCAACATGGTGAAACCCTGTCTCTACTAAAAATACAAAAAATTAGCCAGGCGTGGTGGCACATGCCTGTAATCCCAGCTACTCAGGAGGCTGAGGCAGGAGAATCACTTGAACCTGGGAGGCGGAGGCTGCAGTGAGCCAAGATTGCACCACTGCACCTAGATGACAAGAGTGAAACTCTGTCTCAAAAAAAAAAAAAAAGAAAAGAAAAAAAGAAAAATGACTGAAAGGTAAAAAAGCAAAAATAGACATGATGCTAATGAGAAACAGTGAGAAATCACAATTTTCCCTGTGCCCCACAATTATTTTTCAGGAATCAAATCTACTTATAAATTAATCAGCTGATTTCTGGCACTACACTATTTTAAAGATCAGTGAATCAGAATGTACTTATCTTTCATATATCTGCTTATGTTAGGTTGCTGCTAGTCTACAGTTTCAGATTAAAATATAATTCAATTCCATTTACAGTTAAGTACATGAATACCAAAAAGACTGATTATATTACATATTAAAAGAAGAAAAATAATTCCATGCTGATGAAGAAAAAGAAGAGTGGGGGGAGAACTTAAGATACACAAGTTCTATGGGAACACAACTACCTAAGTAAGCAATGCTACAATGCAATTATTCATGGTCTCAATGATACTTTTTAACTTTCCTTAAAAAGATCCCTATCTGAGCACTTTGGATAGTGATTAACTATCATAAAAATAATTCTGGTTCAACACTATAGTTGTGGAAGCAAAAACTTTAATCAATCTTGGCCTTCAAAAATGTCACTGCTGACAAAGAATCATTCTGTTTATGGAAAGAGTAGAAAAATAAGTCACAGTTTTTATACCAAACACATATAAACATTGCCTTTTTGCTTGTGGCTGAGGTTGATATTTCTAGAGCTGTACCTGTCTGGAACTGAGCTTATGCATTTGCAAGTCTGTCCAGTGCTCAGAAACCAATCTCCAAGACCTGACACCACCTTCTTACACTCTTGAAAACACTCTGAGCCCTCATGACTTAAAAGAAGTTTCTTAAAGGAAAAACAAGAAGGGACTTTAACTTAAAGTCCCAGTTACTCTTGCAGAAAGCCTGGGTAACACATGAGACAAATAGCCTTTTGTTCCACAGAAAGAGAGGAATAGAAAAAAAGCTGGAATCATGACAGCAACCTGAGTTCCTCATATTTTAAAAATTACTCTCTATTGCAAGGTGGCTCATGCCTATAATCCCAGCACTTTGGGAAGCCAAGGTAGAAGGACAGCTTGAGCTCAGAAGTTTGAGACCAACATGAGCAACACAGCAAGACACCACCACTGCAAAAAATTTTTAATAATTAGCTAGGCATGGTGGTACATGCATGTAGTCCCAGCTATTCAGGAGACTGAGGCAGGAGTACTGCTTGAGACCAGGAGATGGAGGCTGCAGTGAGCCATGATCGTTGCCACTGCACTCTATCCTGGATGACAGAGTGAGAACCTGTCTCAGAGAAAAAAAAAAAAACACGATTCTCAGCCTCAATCTCTTCTTCTGCAAAGTGGAAATGACAACCGTAGAACAAACACTTCGTTGGGTTGCTGTATTAAGTGACATAATTCACGAAAAATGTTTTGCAGAGTGCCTAATACATACTAAGGAACTCAAAAAATGTTATTTTGAGTTGTATTATTATTATTACAATTAATGAGATAACATACACATAAGTGCCTAGCATAGTACCTGGGCAGTATAGGTTCTCAAAACACAGGAGTTACTGTTTTTAGGAAATCCAAAATAATTCAGGGGAACAAAGTACTGGAATGTAGCAAGTTTCAGAGCCAGAATTCATATTTGTGTCTACCTAACTCCAAAGATCTTACCACAAGATGGCACTGCCACTGCAGTATCCCACCCCAGGCCACGTTCCTTGAAAAATTGTGAAGACATGCAGATGTCATCAAGAACAAATCACTGAATCCAATAGCATACTTTTGTATTTAAAAAATTAACTTAAGTGCTTGCTTTGGCAGCATATATACTAAATTTGGAACAATACAGAGAAGATTAGCATGATAAATAAGAATTTAAAACATTAACTTAATTGGATTATGATTTATATGTAATAAAACTCACTCATGAGTTTAGCCAAATATATACAGTGTTATAACCACCATACAATCAAGATAAGAACATTTCCCATAGCACAAAAACTTTCCTCATACATTCTTAGATCAAAAGCCTGCCCCTACTCACACTGATCCTCCTTCTCACCCTAAAGATTACTTTTGTCTGGGTTCCTTTGTTTGGAGTAATGTTTTCGAGATTTATCCTTTTTCTTTTCTTTTTTTTTTTTTTTTCATTTGAAACAGTATCTCTCTGTTGCCCAGGCTGGAGTGCAGTGGCGCAATCTCGGCCCACTGTAACCTCCACCTCCTGGGTTCAAGTGATTTTCCTGCCTCTGCCTCCCGAGTAGCTGGACTACAGGCACATCCCACCACACTCAGCTAATTTTTGTATTTTTAGTAGAGACGGGGGTTAACCATGCAGGCCAGGCTGGTCTCAAACTCCTGACCACAAGTGATCTGCCTGCCTTGGCCTCTCAAAATGCTGGGATTATAGGCATGAGCCACCGCACCTGGCCAGATTTATCCATGTTTATATGCGTACAAACAAATAGCTCCAAGTTTAGCTCTTTTTTTTTTTAACATGAAATGGGTGTTGAATATTGTCAAATGCTTTTTCTTATTTACTATACTAATATGGGGATGTACAGTGATGGATTATAAGCTGTTAAACAAGCTGTACATCCCCATATTAGTATAGTAAATGAGAAAAAGCATTTGACAATATTCAACACCCATTTCATGTTAAAAAAAAAAAAGAGCTAAACTTAGAGCAAAGTAGGAATATAAGGCAGCTTTGTAAACTTGATAGAGGGCATTGCTGAAGAACCTACAATAGTTGATAATGAAATACTAAATACTAAGTATTTCCCTCCTACGATCAAGAGCAGTGCTAGGGCCATTCAGCACTATTCAGCATTTCTATTTGTTTGATTGTTTGTTTGTTTTGAGATGGAGTCTCACTTTGTGGCCCATGCTGGAGTGCAGCAGCATGATCTCGGCTTACTGTAACCTCTGCCTCCTCCGCCTCCCAGGTTCAAGCAATTCTCCTGCCTCAGCCTCCCATGTAGCTGGGACTACAGGCACGTGCCACCACGCCTGACAAATTTTTGTATTTTTAGTAGAAACAGGGTTTCACCACGTTGGCCAGACTGGTCTTGAACTCCTGACCTCATGATCCACCCACCTCAGCCTCCCAAAGTGCTGGGATTACAGGCGTGAGCCACTGCACCCAGCCTACTATGTTTTTGTAAACAAGCCACATGGCCTACTTGGCTATGATGTATACTATAAACGTATTTATACATTTTATTATATTTTACTGAATTCAGTTTGCAACTATTTTGTAAAGGATTTCTCCCTCCATAGTTATAAGAAATATTTTCCTGTAAAAATCTCTATCTAATTTTGGTATTAGGGTAATGCTAGCTTCATAAAATAAATGAGGCAATGTTTCATCTCTCTCTTTTTTGCGAAGGACTGGTAATAGTTCTTCCTTAAATATTAGACAGAATTCACCAGAAAAGCCATCTAGCGTTTCAGGTTTTCTTTGTGGGAAGGTTTTGTTTTTGTTTTTGTTTTTTGAGACACAGTCTCACTCTATTGCCCAGGCTGGAGTGCAGTGGCACTATCTTGGCTCACTGCAACCTCCGCCTCCCAGGTTCAAGCGATTCTCCTGCCTCAGCCTCTTGAGTAGTTGGGACTACAGGCGCGTGCCACCACACCCAGCTAACTTTTGCATTTTTAGTAGAGACGGGGGTCTCGTCCTGTTGGCCAGGCTGGTCTCGAACTCCTGACCTCAGGGGAGCTGCCCACCTTGGCCTCCCCAAAGTGCTAGGATTACAGGTGTGAGCCACCATGCCAGGCCCTTTTTGTGGGAAGGTTTTGATTGACAATTCAATTTATATATTTGATGTACAGCTATTCAAATTTTTTACTTCTGTGAATGTGGTAACTTGTACCTTTAAAATAATTTTTCTAACCTTTTAGAGTTTCATGTAAATTTACCAGCATAAGTTTGTTCTTAATATCACCTTATAGTCCATGTAATGTACGTAGGCGCTTCTTTCATTCCCAATATGAATAACTTGTGTTTTCTCTTCTGTTCTTGTTTTTCACACTAGCAAAATAATTATCAGTTTTATTAATCTTTTTAAAAAACAGCTTTAGGTTTTGTTCATTTTCTCTACTACTTATCCATTTTCCACTTACTGTTTTCTGCTCTTATACATATTATTATGCTTCTGTACTTACTTTGGGTTTGATTTGCTCATTTTTTTGGTTTTGTTTTGTTTTTTTGAGACAGTCTCATTTTGTCACCCAGGCTGGAGTGCAGTGGGGTGATCTCAACTCACTGCAGCCTCCGCCTCCCGGGTTCAAGTGATTCTCCCGCCTCAGCCTCCAGTGTAGCTGGGACTACAGGTACACACCGCCACACCTGGCTAATTTTTGTATTTTTCAGTAGAGATGGGGTTTCACCATGTTGGCCAGGCTGGTCTCGAACTCCTGACCTGAAGTGTTCCACCTGCCTCAGCCTCCCAAAGTGCTGGGATTACAGGTGTGAGCCACTGCACCCAACCATCATCCTCTTCAAAAGGTCTTAACGGCTTCATTAAGATGTGTTTAACGTAAAATAAACTGCACATATTTGAAATCTAAATTTAATAAGTTTAAACAATTGAATCCAACAATGAAATCACCACCTTAATCAATGTTATGAATTTATCCATCACCCTCAATGGTTTCCATGTGCCCCTTGGTAATTCCACCATACCATCCCCAACCTCTTCCCTAGAGAACCACTAATTTGATTTCTATGACTGTGCCTTAGTTTGAATTTTCTAGAATTTTACATAATGGAATTGCAGAATGTATTCTGGATTCTTTCACTCAAAATGAACTGAGATTTTTCCATATCATTGCAGGTAACAATAGCCCACTCCTTTTATTAATAAGTATACCACTGTATGCATATACAACAATTTGGTTTATGTACATTTGGGGTTGTTTCCTGTTTGGAGCTATTACAAAGAAAGTTGCTATAAACAATAATGTACACGTCTTTGGTGGACATATGCCTCCATTTCTCTTGAGAACCTATGTAGAAACTACCAAAGTGTTTTACAAAGTGGCTTCCATTGCAATGTCTTCAAGTTTACCAGTATTTTCTTCAATGTCAGATCTGCTGTTAATCTCATCTGGTGGCTTTTCACTTCAGACATCACAGTCTTCAACTCTAGTTGTTCAACTGGGTCATTTCTACATTTCCAATGCCTTATTTTAAACCTTCCCTCTCTCTTTTTGAACACAGGTAATACAGTTAATAATAACTGCTCTAATGTCATTATCTGTTCTTTTTTTTTTTTTTTTTTGAGACATAGTCTCGCTTAGTAGCCCAGCCTGGAGTGTAGTGGTGCGATCTCGGCTCACTGCAACCTCTGCCTCCAGGATTCAAGCAATTCTCTTGCCTCAGTCTCCTGAGTAGCTGGGATTACAGGGGTACGCCACCATGCTCAGCTAATTTTTGTATTTTTGGCAGAGACGGGGTTTCAACACGTTGGCCAGGCTGGTCTCGATCTCCTGATCTCGTGATACGCCCACCTTGGCCTCCCAAACTGCTGGGATTACAGACGTGAACCACTGTGCCCAGCCTATCTGCTCATTCTAACATCTAGGTTAGACCTGGGTTGGTTATGATTGATCAATTTCTCTCCTCATTATGGGCCAGGTTTTTCTACATCTTTGCGTGCCTGGTAATTTTTTATTGGATGCCTGACATTGTAAATTTTATCTTGTTAAGTGCTGGATATTTTTGTAATCCTATAAATATTCCTGAGCTTAATTTTGGGATGCAGTTATGTTACTTAGACACAATTTAATCCTTTTGTGTTTTGCTTTTAAGATTTGTTAGTCAGCATTGCCCAAGCAGTATTTAATCTTGTACTAGTACTCTCCACCACTGAGGAAAGATCCTTCTGAGTAGTGTAACCAAAGCCACATGAATTATGAGGTTTTCCAATCTAGCTGGTAGGAACAGACACTATTACCAATTTTGTTCCCACTAAGCCTTTTGGGTGGTTTTTAGTTGTAATAGGAATGACAGTAAATCTGATTCCTGTTATTCCATACTGGCTGGAAATGAAATGGACTTTTCCTACTTCTTAGATGGAAGCTTTAGTCCTTGCTTTTACAACTTTCTTTATCTGTAATTAAGCATTTGAACCATAAGTTTCCCTCTCAATACCAATTTCTCAGTATCAAACAAATGCTGATATGCCATGTGTATTAGTCCATTTTCACACTGCTGATAAAGATATACCTGAGATTGGGCAATTTACAAAAGAAAGAGGTTTAATGGACTTACAGTTCCAAATGGTTGGGGAGGCCCTATAATCATGGTGGAAGGCAAGGAGGAGCAAGTCACATCTTACATGAATGGCAGCAAGCAGAGAGAGGTTGTGTAGGGAAACTCCTCCTTACAAAACCATCAGATCTGATAAGACTTGCTCACTATCATGAGAACAGCATGGGAAAGACCCACCCCCATGACTCAATTACCTCCCACAAGGTCCCTCCCACAACACGTGGGAATTCAAGATGAGATTTGGGTGGGGACACAGCCAAACCATATCATTCTGCCCCTGGCCCCTCCAAAATCTCATGTCCTCACATTTCCAACCAATCATGCCTTCCCAACAGTCCCCCAAAGTCTTAACTCATTTCACCATTAACTCAAAAGTCCACAGTCCAAATCTGAGACAAGGCAAGTCCCTTCGACCTACGAGCCTGTAAAATCAAAAGCAAGTTAGTTACTTCCTAGATACAATGGGGGTACCGGCATTGGATAAATACACCCATTCCAAAGGGAAGAAACTGGCCAAAATGAAGGGCTAAAGGCTCCATGAAAGTCCAAAATCCAGCAGGGCAGTCAAATCTTAAAGCTCCAAAATGATCTCCTTTGACTCCAAGTCTCACATCTAGGTCACATTGATGCAAGAGGTGGCCTCCCATGGCCTTGGGCAGCTCCGCCCTTGTGGCTTTGCAGGGTATAGCATACCTCCTGGCTGCTTTCAAGGGCTGGCACTGAGTGTCTGTGGCTTTTCCAGGTTCACGGTGCAAGCTGTCCGTGGATCTACCATTCTGGGGTCTGGAGAACAGTGGCTGTCTTCTCACATCTCCACTAAGCGGTGCCCAGTAGGGACTCTGTGTGGGGGCTCTGACCCCACATTTCCCTTTTGCGCTGCCCTAGCAGAGGCCCTCCAGGAGTGCCCCACCCCCACAGCAAGCTTCTGCCTGGGCATCCAGGCACTTCTACACATCTTCTGAAATATAGGCAGAGGTTCCCAAACCTCAATTCTTGACTTCTGTGCACTTGCAGGCTCAACACCACATGGAAGCTGCCAAGGCTTGGAGCTTGTACCCTCTGAAGCCACAGCCCAAGCTCTGCATTGACTCCTTTCAGCCACAGCTGCAGCAGCTGGGATGCAAGGCACCAAGTCCCTAGGCTGCACACAGCACAGGGACCCTGGGTCCAGCCCACGAAACCACTTTTTCTTTCTAGGCCTCTGGGTCTGTCATGGGAGGGCCTGCTGTGAAGACCTCTGACACGCCCTGGAGACATTTTCCCCATTGTCTTGGGGATTAACATTTGGCTCCTTATTACTTATGCAAATTTCTGCAGCTGGCTTAAATTCTCCTCAGAAAATGGGATTTTCTTTTCTATCACATTGTCAGGCTACAAATTTTCTGAACTTACATGCTCTGCTTCCCTTATAAAACTGAATGCCTTTAACAGCACCCAAGTCACCTCTTGAACACTTTGCTGCTTAGAAATTTCTTCTGCCAAATACCCTAAATCATCTCCTCAAGTTCAAAGTTCTACAAATCTCTAGGGCAGAGGCAAAATGCTGCCAGCATCTTTGCTAAAACACAACAAGAGTCACCTCTGCTCCATTTCCCAACAAGTTCTTCATCTCCATCTAAGACCACCTAAGCCTGAACTTTATTGTCCATATCGCTATCAGCATTTTGAGCAAAGCCATTCAACAAGTCTCCAGGAGGTTCCAAACTTTCCTGCATTTTTCTGTCTTCTTCATAGCCCTCCAAACTATTCCAAACTCTGCGTGTTACCCAGTTCCAAAGTCACTTCCACATTTTCAGGTATCTTTTCAGCAGTGCCCCACTCTCAGTACCAATTTACTGTATTAGTCCATTTTCACGCTGCTGATAAAGACATACCTGAGACTGGGTAATTTATACAGAAGAAAGGGTTTAACGGACTTATAGTTCCACATGGTTGGGGAGGCCTCACAATCATGCTGGAAGGCAAGGTGGAGCAAGTCACATCTTACATGGATGGCAGCAGGCAAAGAGAGAGAGCTTGTGCAGGGAAACTCCTCCTTATAAAATCATCAGATCTCATGAGACTTATTCACTATCACGAGAACAGCATGGGAAAGACCTGCCCCCATAACTCAATTACCTCCCATCAGGTCCCTCCCTGTGGGAATTCAAGATGAGATTTGGAAGGGACACAGCCAAACCATATCATCATGTTTTCATCACAATTCAGTTCAAAATATTTTCTACTTTCCCTTGTGATTTCTTCTTTGACCTATGGTTTATTTAGGAATATGTTGTTTAATTTCCAAATATACAGGGATATTCCAAATTCTTGTGATTTCTAACTTAATTCCATTGTTGCCAGAACACTTGTCACTTAATTTAAACAATTTTAAATTTGTTTTGTGACTGAGCATATGTTCTACCTTAATGATCAACTGCCCAAGAAAAGAACATGTCTTTTGCTGTTATAATGAGGAGTATTATATACATTTTAAGTAAGTCAAATTGGTTTCTATGCTGTTCAGATTTTTTGTCTGTTGTTCTGAACATTATAATGAGACAGGAGTGTTATAATCTCCAATTGTGAATTTATCCATTCCTTACTTCAGTTCTGTCAGTTTGGATTTGTCCATTTCTTACTTCAATTCTACCAGTTTTTGATTTTAAATATTTCAAACTCTGTTATTAGATATATACACAGTTAGGATACTTATGTCTTCTTGATGAATCTACAGTTTCATTATTATGAAATGTCCCCATCTGTCCTTCATAATATTCTTTGTCCAGAGTCTAGCTCATCCCATACTAACATAGATCCTTCAGGTTATGATTACAATTTTCATACATATTTTCCAGTTCTTTTCATTTTTAGTTTTTATTCAATTTCTATACTTTATAAAGCAGGTTTCCTGTATATATCATACAAACGGGTTTCCCTTTTTTATTCAGTGTAACAATCTCTACCTTTTATTATAACATGAGATCATTTATATGTATTATAATTATTTATATGGTCTTATTTCTTTTCTATTGGTCTTATCTATTTCATTTATCATCTTCTTTTCTTCATTGGGGATTTTTGAGTATTTTTTAAGTACTCTATTTCATCTCAACACTGAGCTTAATGACCATTATGTGTATTCACGGTTTCAGTGATTGCTCTAAAGTTTACAACATAATTTTTTTTTTAATGTAGTCTCACTCTGACACCCAGGCTGGAGTGCAGTGGCATGAGCTCAGCTCACTGCAACCTCTGCCTCTGACATTCAACTGATTCTCGTGCCTCAGCCTCCCGAGTAGCTGAAATTACCAGCACATGCTACCATGTCCAGCTAATTTTTGTATTTTTAGTAGAGACGATGTTTTGCTATATTGGCCAGGCTGGTCTCAAACTCCTGACCTCAAGTGATCTACCCACCTTGGCCTCCCAAAGTGCTGGGATTAGAAGAGTGAGCCACCATGTCTGGCCTAACTTTTGTATTTTTAGTAGAGACAGGGTTTCACCATGTTGGCAAGGATGGTCTCAAACTCCTGACCTCAAGTGATCCACCTGCCTCGGCCTCCCAAAATGCTGGGATTAAAGGCATAAGCCACCACGCCCAGCACAACATACATTTTTAACTCAACAAAGACTACCTTCAAATCAGACAGAAATCTGTCTTACGACAGAATACTTCTAGTTCCCTTTCCTATTCTTCATGTTATTGTTGTCATACCTGTACTTGTACACATTTTACAAATGCTATAATACATTGCTATAATTTCTACTTTTAAATGTCAATTCTCATTTAAATAAATTTAAAAATACAGAAAAGGTTTTTAAAAAATGTGTAACCAAATATTTACAATTTCTAGTGCTCTTCATTTCTCTGTATTAACTTAATCTTCCATCTGTTATCGTTTTCTTTCAGGCTGCCTGGGTGCTTACTTTAACATCTCTTATAGCTTTTATCTGAAAACTATCTCCAGTCTTCATTTCTGAAAGATTATTTTGTTCAATATAGCATTCTAGGTGAAAATTTTATTTCTTCAACACTTACTGCATTGCCTCCTGGTGTGCGCTGCTTCTGATAGAAGTCTGTATTTTTTATTATTATTATTGTTATTATTTTGAGATGGAGTCTTGCTCTGTTGCCCAGGCTAGAGTGCAGTGGTGCGATCTCGGCTCTCTGCAAGCTCTGCCTCGTAGGTTCACACCATTCTCCTGCCTCAGCCTTCCGAGTAGCTGGGACTACAGGCACCAGCCACCACGTCCAGCTAATTTTTTGTGATTTTAGTAGAGACGGGGTTTCACTGTGTTAGCCAGGATGGTCTCAATCTCCCGACCTCATGATCTGCCCGCCTCAGCCTCCCAAAGTGCTGTGTATTTATTATTCTTAAATCTCTCTTTTATTTTAATTTTTTTAAAATTATTATTATACTTTAAGTTTTAGGGTACATGTGCACAATGTGCAGGTTAGTTACATATGTATACATGTGCCATGCTGGTGTGCTGCACCCATTAACTCGTCATTTAGCATTAGGTATATCTCCTAAAGTTATCCCTCCCCCCTCCCCCCCACCCCACAACAGTCCCCAGAGTGTGATGTTCCCCTTCCTGTGTCCAAGTGTTCTCATTGTTCAATTCCCACCTATGAGTGAGAATATGCAGTGTTTGGTTTTTTGTTCTTGTGATAGTTTACTGAGAATGATGGTTTCCAATTTCATCCATGTCCCTACAAAGGACATGAACTCATCATTTTTTATGGCTGCATAGTATTCCATGGTGTATATGTGCCACATTTTCTTAATCCAGTTTATCATTGTTGGACATTTGGGTTGGTTCCAAGTCTTTGCTATTGTGAATAGTGCCGCAATAAACATACGTGTGCATGTGTCTTTATAGCAGCATGATTTATAGTCCTTTGCATATATACCCAGTAATGGGATGGCTGGGTCAAATGGTATTTCTAGTTCTAGATCCCTGAGGAATTGCCACACTGACTTCCACAATGGTTGAACTAGTTTACAGTCACACCAACAGTGTAAAAGTGTTCCTATTTCTCCACATCCTCTCCAGCACCTGTTGTTTCCTGACTTTTTAATGATCGTCATTCTAACTGGTGTGAGATGGTAACTCATTGTGGTTTTGATTTGCATTTTTCTGGTAGCCAGTGATGATGAGCATTTTTTCATGTGTTTTTTGGCTGCATAAATATCTTCTTTTGAGAAGTGTCTGTTCATGTTCTTCACCCACTTTTTGATGGGGTTGTTTGTTTTTTTCTTGTAAATTTGTTTGAGTTCACTGTAGATTCTGGATACTCGCCCTTTGTCAGATGAGTAGGTTGCTCTTTGTCAGATGAGTAGGTTGCATACTGGTAAAGGGATCAATTCAACAAGAAGAGCTAACTATCCTAAATATATATGCACCCAATACAGGAGCACCCAGATTCATAAAGCAAGTCCTGAGTGACCTACAAAGAGACTTAGACTCCCACACATTAATAATGGGAGACTTTAACACCCCACTGTCAACATTAGACAGATCAACGAGACAGAAAGTCAACAACGATACCCAGGAATTGAACTCAGCTCTGCACCAAGCAGACCTAAGAGACATCTACAGAACTCTCCACCCCAAATCAACAGAACATACATTTTTTTCAGCACCACAACACACTTATTCCAAAATTGACCACATAGATGGAAGTAAAGCTCTCCTCTGCAAATGTAAAAGAACAGAAATTATAACAAACTGTCTCTCAGACCACGGTGCAATCAAACTAGAACTCAGGATTAAGAAACTCATTTAAAACTGCTCAACTACATGGAAACTGAACAACCTGCTCCTGAATGACTACTGGGTACCTAACGAAATGAAGGCAGAAATAAAGATGTTGTTTGAAACCAACGAGAACAAAGACACAACATACCAGAATCTCTGGGACACATTCAAAGCAGTATGTAGAGGGAAATTTATAGCACTAAATGCCCACAAGAGAAAGCTGGAAAGATCCAAAATTGACACCCTAACATCACAATTAAAAGAACTAGAAAAGCAAAAGCAAACACATTCAAAAGCCAGCAGAAGGCAAGAAATAACTAAAATCAGAGCAGAACTGAAGGAAATAGAGACACAAAAA
Organism: Homo sapiens; assembly: GCF_000001405.40. Taxonomy (NCBI): domain Eukaryota; kingdom Metazoa; phylum Chordata; class Mammalia; order Primates; family Hominidae; genus Homo; species Homo sapiens. The sequence continues at coordinate 50,760,871 of NC_000001.11, forward strand.
ACCCTTCAAAAAATTAATGAATCCAGGAGCTGGTTTTTTGAAAGGATCAACAAAATTGATAGACCGCTAGCAAGACTAATAAAGAAGAAAAGAGAGAAGAATCAAATAAATGCAATAAAAAATGATAAAGGGGATATCACCACCGATCACACAGAAATATAAACTACCATCAGAGAATACTACAAACACCTCTGTGCAAATAAACTAGAAAATCTAGAAGAAATGGATAAATTCCTCAACACATACACCCTCCCAAGACTAAACCAGGAAGAAGTTGAATCTCTGAATAGACCAATAACAGGCTCTGAAATTGAGGCAATAATCAATAGCTTACCAACCTAAAAGAGTCCAGGACCAGATGAATTCACAGCCGAATTCTACCAGAGGTATAAGGAGGAACTGGTACCATTCCTTCTGAAACTATTCCAATCAATAGAAAAAGAGGGAATCCTCCCTAACTCATTTGATGAGGCCAGCATCATCCTGATACCAAAGCCAGGCAGAGACACAACCAAAAAAGAGAATTTTAGACCAATATCCTTGATGAACATTGATGCAAAAATCCTCAATCAAATACTGGCAAACCGAATCCAGCAGCACATCAAAAAGCTTATCCACCATGATCAAGTGGGCTTCATCCCTGGGATGCAAGGCTGGTTCAATATACGCAAATCAATAAATGTAATCCAGCATATAAACAGAACCAAAGACAAAAACCACATGATTATCTCAGTAGATGCAGAAAAAGCCTTTGACAAAATTCAACAACGCTTCATGCTAAAAACTCTCAATAAATTCGGTATTGATGGGACGTATCTCAAAATAGTAAGAGCTATCTATGACAAACCCACAACCAATATCATACTGAATGGGCAAAAACTGGAAGCATTCCCTTTGAAAACTGGCACAAGACAGGGATGCCCTCTCTCACCGCTCCTATTCAACATAGTGTTGGAAGTTCTGGCCAGGGCAATTAGGCAGGAGAAGGAAATAATGGGTATTCAATTAGGAAAAGAGGAAGTCAAATTGTCCCTGTTTGCAGATGACATGATTGTATATCTAGAAAACCCCATTGTCTCAGCCCAAAATCTCCTTAAGCTGATAAGCAACTTCAGCAAAGTCTCAGGATACAAAATCAATGTACAAAAATCACAAGCATTCTTATATACCAATAACAGACAAACAGAGAGCCAAATCATGAGTGAACTCCCATTCACAATTGCTTCAAAGAGAATAAAACACCTAGGAATCCAACTTACAAGGGACGTGAAGGACCTCTTCAAGGAGAACTACAAACCACTGCTCAGTGAAATAAAAGAGGATACAAACAAATGGAAGAACATTCCATGCTCATGGGTAGGAAGAATCAATATTGTGAAAATGGCCATACTGCCCAATATAATTTATAGATTCAATGCCATCCCCATCAAGCTACCAATGACTTTCTTCACAGAATTGGAAAAAACTACTTTAAAGTTCATATGGAACCAAAAAAGAGTCTGCATCGCCAAGTCAATCCTAAGCCAAAAGAACAAAGCTGGAGGCATCACACTACCTGACTTCAAACTATACTACAAGGCTACAGTAACCAAAACAGCATGGTACTGGTACCAAAACAGAGATATAGATCAATGGAACAGAACAGAGCCCTCAGAAATAACACCACATATCTACAACTATCTGATCTTTGACAAACCTGAGAAAAACAAGCAATGGAGAAAGGATTCCCTATTTAATAAATGGTGCTGGGAAAACTGGCTAGCCATATGTAGAAAGCTGAAACTGGATCCCTCCTTACACCTTATACAAAAATTAATTCCAGATGGATTAAAGACTTAAATGTTAGACCTAAAACCATAAAAACCCTAGAAGAAAACCTAGGCATTACCATTCAGGACATAGGCATGGGCAAGGACTTCATGTCTAAAACACCAAAAGCAATGGCAACAAAAGCCAAAATTGACAAATGGGATCTAATTAAACTAAAGAGCTTCTGCACAGCAAAAGATACTACCATCAGAGTGAACAGGCAACCTACAAAATGGGAGAAAATTTTCACAACCTACTCATCTGATAAATCTCTCTTTTAAAATATAGAATGTAGGCCAGGCGCGTTGGCTCATACCTGTAATCCCAGCACTTTGGGAGGCCAAGGCAGGTGATCACCTGAGGTCAGGAGTTCAAGACCAGCCTAGCCAACATACTGAAACCCTGTCTCTACTAAAAATACAAAAAAATTAGCTGGGGCATGGTGGCATGCGTCTGTAGTCCCAGCTACTCGGGTGGCTGAGGCAGGAGAATCACTTGAACTCAGGAGGTAGTGGTTGCTGTAAGCCGAGATGACGCCACTGCACTCCAACCTGGGTGACAGAGTTAGGCTCCATCTCAAAAAATAAATACATAAAATATAAAATAAAACAAAATAAAATATAAAATGTATCTTTGTTTCTCTGGCTCTGGCTGCTTTCAAGACTTTTCTAATACTGATTTTTAACAATTTGATAATGATGTGCCTTGATGCGGTTTCCTCTGAGTTACTCCTGCTTGTTGTTATGAAACTTCTTAGATTTGTGAGTTTATAGTTCTCACCAAATTTGGCTAGCATTGAGTTATTCGTTAAAATTTCCCCCTTTCCACTCTCTCCTCTATTTTAGGGGCTCTAATCAGACATACATTGTACCATTTTATATTTGCCTAGAAGTCGTTCAGACAACATCCTTCCCTCTCCAGCCTCTAGCTCCCAGTATTTTTGCTGTGTGTGCTTCAGTTTGCATTGTTTTTATTGCTATGTCTTCATATTCACTGACCTTTTCAACAGTTAAACTGTTAAATCCATCAGAGTAAATTATTGATATCACATAATGTATCGACATTTTGTTAATATCATAGCAAAGTGAACCAATATTTTCCAAATGACCAATGGATTTTAATATAACAGAACATTAAAATTTCATTGAAGTGGTTTCAGGTTTTACATTGCAATAAACTTTTAAGAAACCACCATTTCCCAAATTTCAGTGTACTATCAATTAAGAATGTCCATAATTATCTGACTATTAAAATATCCCTCCCTTCACCAACTATATAGCTGTTTGGTGGCATTTTCTTTATATACTTCAACAGAAGTAACATACTGCAACAGAATAAATGGAGGAGGAGATATAAGAATCCAGCTTTTATATGGACAGATATTGAAGAGTTTGCAATGCACCTAAGAGAATACCACTTTCTCATTACTTTTTTTGTTCTGAAAAATTATTTTTCATTAAGAGTCTTATTTATGTTAATATGTAAGGAGTTCATTACTATTATTAATTAAGAAATATTTTTAACTTCCTCAGTTTTAATTACTAATATGGAAAATATTTATTCTGGGGTCTCAGTACTAACTGTACCCTGTGTGCGACAAAGTCTTTTTCCTCTGGTGGGAAGGAATTCAATAGTATTCTAGTCTTACGTATAAGGTCGAGGAATTGTTCAGCGTACTCAATCGTGTAGAGATTACTATTCAGCCAAAGATTTGCAGAAAGCATCATTCAGATACCTGCATGTTTCCCTATGTAGCAATCTTTCTCTTAGTACTGAGCCCTATACATTCCAATCTCAGTCTCAGGGAATCTCCTAGCTCTTTAACTCTGCAGGACCGTTGGGCTCTGCTTACATTCCCTTTTTCATGGACTGTTGTATAGAAATTTTCTCCATGCAGAAATCAGGGGCATCTACAGGGCTCACCTTGCTTGTTTCCCATTTCTCATGAATCATAGGCCTACGCTGCCTAATGCCCAATGCCTGCAAGCAGTTGTTTCATATATTTTCTCCAGCTTTCCAGGTGTGTACAGCAGGAAGAGAGGTACTATATCAGTTATTCCTTCAAGGGCAAAAGTAGAAATTCTGTTAATTTTCTAAGGTTCATTACTGCCAAGAAAAATTTCAATGTTTTCTCAGATTTAGAGTTTCAGATAAACTAACCTGTCAGAGATGTAATTTACAAGAGCTTATTCCTCCATATTTTGGACACATTAATTCAATTTTACATGAAAATGTCTATCTTTACGTTGGAAACTAGGGTGGTTCACATTCATGTGGCTCTATGTTAACACAAACCAAGTTATTACCATAAATCATTTCACCTAACAATTTATCTTACAGATTAATATGGATATTGCAAATGCTGCTCTGAGTACAATTCTTTGCTTTATGTTTTTAACAGCAATCTTTCTCTAGAATTTTCCAGGGCATAGTGACAAGAAGGCTACAAAAAGAAAAAAGGTCTAACTCAAACCTAAGTAAGCAATAATTCCAAGTGGATATTTGCCTGCCCAGGAGAGAAATAATTAGCAAAAGGTCATTCAGTTTAGTTGGCTACACTCCAATAAACTGAAAACACTTTACACACACTCTATCTGCCATTTAAATGCCTAAAAAATAGATCATTTGGAATAGTGTTTTTATTTTTCTTCAGAGTCTCAAATTTTAACCAATACATTATCTACAGAATTTAATACCTTTTTTCAAGGTCATTTGGAAGGAATTTATTCCTTAATTTATAGTATTAAACCTTCATAATTTCTAGAAGGCAACTAAACATTAAGGATAGGGGACTCTGCTCCTATAAAACAAGTGGCTATTAATATAGTCCAATTATTTCCATTCAGAGAAAAAAAATGTAGTGAAAGTTGGATACTGTAGCTCTACTAACCATTTCTAATCAGAATGTAGCACATTACTGCAATCTTACAATAACTAAGATGAAAAGCATAATCCCTATATATGACTAAATGACTATTACTGAGCCAAATTACAGGCCCTCTATGGGCTTCTGGACCTCAAATTCCACATGATTTAAAAAAGAAAAAACTACTAAACACATTTCATGTTAATACTGCCTGTTACCACTTTGTAAAATTTAAAATATCAACATTAAAAAGAGTAAAATAGGGCTAGGCATGGTGACTCACACCTGTAATCCCAGCACTTTGGAAGGCTGAGGCAGGTGGATGACCTGAGGTCAGGAGTTCAAGACCAGCCTGGCCAACATGGTGAAACCCCGTCTCTACTAAAAACACAAAAAATTAGCTGGGCGTGG